>NC_000003.12:126432846-126584361 GCF_000001405.40 Homo sapiens
GCTGTTTATTTTCTTTAATGTTGATTGTTAAATATTTTACATTTTCCCCTACATTCTACCAGCATTTCTGACCCCCTGGGCATGCAGAGACTTGGCACCCATGATCCTTCAGCCCTCAGGACAGCTGGTAGGGGCAAAGCACTGTACAGACAGGCTCAGAGAAGCGATGTGCCCAGGGCTGTGCTGAGTGACTGATGCCCTGCCGGTTTTCCCCTCTTCCAGGGACAGGGAGGTCAACCAGCTGAAGCAGTGGGTCACCACAATGATGATGTCCATCACCAAGGAGGAGGACACAGCAGCTGAGCTGGAGCTCAAAGCCCGAGTCTTCCACTTCGGCGAGTACAAGGGCGATCAGCAGGTAGGCTGGGGATCAAGGTGGCCAGAGGCCCAGGGTAAGGAGGGACCCTTGGGCACCCACTGGAGGAGCCCTGACAGCCCTTGGGAAGATGGAGGACAAGGCCCGGGTGAGTGCCCTGCAGCTGCCCTTGCCCTGCCTCCCTCCAGGAGCCACCACATGTATTGATGCCTGTGCCAGCCAGCTTGGTTGCCCCCACGCCTCATCCATTGCTTCATTCTTTTATTCAACAAATGTGTCTGCTTCTTAAACACATATATTGTGTCTGGCAAGGTGATCCTGAAGGGGGGGAAGAGGCGTGTCCTCAAGCCAGGCTGAGAGGGTGAGAGAATTGGGAGAGAAGAGAAAGCCAGTGGTGTTCTGAGCAGCAGAAGCCAGGACCCAGACAAAGGCTCAGCCCGCTCCCAACCTGACAGCCTGGGGCCACCCCGGGCATGGGATGGCTTCCTACTGTCAAGTGCCTGCTGTGTGCCAGGCACAGGGCCAAGGGTGTGGGATGCAGCCATGAGCAAGACAGCGCTCCCGATACAGCCAGAATCCATGGGCACTGGCTGTGCCCAGGCTGGGCTGAGCTGCCTGCCTGCTGCTCCTCTCTCCTCATATAGCCCACATGGAGGGGCTGTTATCTGTTTTCTAAGTGTCAGAACAGTCTCAGAGAAGACATAGCCCTGTGGGGTGCCCAGGGTGCAGGGTTCCCTGGAGGAGGGGACTGGGCCCCGTTGGCTCACCAGAGGCAGCTGGGAGAGGGGCTGGAACCAGGGATCTGGCTGACTCCAGGGGGCCCGGGGGATAGGCTGCTCTGGCCAAGAAAAGCCAGTTCCCCAAGTTCTGTTTTAGCCCATGTTCTCAGAGCTCCCACTGTGTGCCAAGCGGTGGCCCCCACCCTGGGAGGTCAGCAGGCCACCGCTGAAGGCACTGGCATGGGGGTGGGTTTCCGCCTGCCAGCACCCTGCTGGAAGCCACCTCCTCCACAGGATAAGCTGCTAGAGAGCCTGAACTGCAAGGTGCTGGATGTGTACCGGCACTGCACCGGCACCCAGCAGGAGGCCAACCTGGGCACCGTGCAGATGCTGACCATCATTGAGCACCAGCTGGATGAGCTGCTAGAGAACCTGGAGCACGTGCCCCAGGTCAAGATCGAGCAGGCCGAGAGGGCAAAGGAGAAGGAGCGGCGCATCAGGTGAGCTCTAGGCTCTCCCTGCCAGCTGCTGTGTCCTGGCTGGCCCTGAGGGCAGAGGGCACATACAGGCCCCACCCTCAAAGCACTCCCAGGAGACAGGCCCCTCCTGCTCTGTGCTATGAGAGACAAAAGCCCATGTCTTGGGGGGATCTAGAGGGGCATCACAGTCAAGTGGGGGGTGGTTAGGGAAAGCTTCCTAGAGCAAACGACAGTGACTCGATGTGGCCAGGAGGCTCAGGGAGGGACAGGGTCTAGAAGATAGAAGAGCTGGAGCTTAGTTAGAGTGTGGCTAGCACGGTCAGCCTCAAATACATGGAACAGCAGTGGAGGGCTTTAAGCAGTGGGGCAAACACGGCCAGGTAGGGTGTGGTTAGATTCTTCCCTCTGGGGCTGGACTGGAGGGGCTGGAGGCTGAGGGCAAGGGCAGCTGCCAGCACCCAGGAGAGAAGGCATGGCTACAGCAGTGTTGCTGGAGCGGAAGACAAAGTGCAGAGGCTCAGAGAGCCTTGGGAGTTTCAGCTCAGAGGGGAGTGGAGGGGGGCAGATGGGCAGCAGCTTGCTATCTGTCGGGACACCAGCCTGAACCCAAGGTAGATGGGGGTTGTGGCTTCCCTGGCCTGTGGGCAGCCCGGTTCATCCACCCCGTGCAGGGCTCTGAGACAGCGCAATCTGCAAACATCCATCCGTCCCCCCAAGCACAGGGGCTTCTCCTCTGGGTCCCTGGTACCCTGCTCAGAGTGGGCACTAGACCAGGCTTTGATGACTGAGAGTATATATAGGAAGGAGACAGGACTCTCGCCCCAGGGGGATGCTGGCCTTCATGGTGGCAAGGGAGGCCACAGGTGCACAGATCAGGCCATGGGTGTAGATTCAGAGAAATGTGCCTCTGGGAGGGGTCTGCTGGATGAACCTTAGATTCAGCCCTTGCAGGAGGCCAGAGCCAGGGCCTCGGAGCAGCAGGGCCCTGGTTGTCCTCCTCTGGGCCTAGGCCACCTTGGCCAAAAGCAGCGGTGCTTTGGCTGTGGATAGGTATTGAGAACTTGACCTGGCAAAAGAGGTGAAGAGGAGCTGGGAGTTTTCTTGAGGGAGGACACGGCCTGGCCTGGGGACTCCGTGTGGAGATTACACAACACCTTCCAGGTCCCCCCAGTTTTCAATGTCATTTCTTGCCACCCAGACTTCGAGAAGAGAAGCTCCAGATGCAAAAGATCCTACAGGAGGAGCATCTGCAGCGGGCCCGGGCGCGCGCCCAGGCTGAGATCAAGAAGAAGGTAGGCAGGGTCGCCTTGGGGGGTCTCTGCTGGAGGGGGTCCCAAGACAGCATGGCAGCTGAGGTCCTGCAGCCCAAGCCCCTGATGCTACCACTCTGAAGGCATTCAATGAGGCTCTGAGGGAGACAGGCTGCCTTCGGAGCAAGGCCTCTCCCAGGACCTGCTTCCTGCAGGGGGCTCTTCCCCAGGCTGCCAGCCCATGGCCCATGCCAGGCTGAGCCTGGTTCAGCCATGCCCACCCACCCCAGCCAGGTACACTCTGCTCAGGAGCAGGGTCCCACCACCCTACCCACACTCCGGCCAGACCCCAAGCCCTGCTCACTGCCCGTCACTGGGGTCCCCCTACTGCTGTGTCCCAAGGCCCCCACCCTTCCTGCCTTCTGACCCTGGCAACAGGAAGCAGGTCCCTCTGCCCCCACATCTAATAGGTGGTGCTCCAGAGACCAGGCTTGATAAATGCCAGGCAGACTCACACCCCCAGTTATTTCAGAGTTAACTCCAGCCCTCAGCCTGCAGGGCTGACCAGAGTGGCCTGGAGGTGACTGGAGCTGCTGGGCCTCTCCCTGCACCAGGGGCAGGGGTATATGGGCATACGGCTCACTAGGCAGCAAGGCTCACTGGGCTTGTTTCCCCTGCAGAGAGGCAGGACACTGGTATGCCGCTCACGACCCCCAGCCCACAGGATCAAACAACAGTCTGAGCACACACTGATGGACAAGGAGGAGGAGGAGCTGCTATTTTTCTTTACTTAATCTTCGCAGACCATAGCTGTTCTGGCTGAAGGCTTAGCAAAGATGTTGGCAGAGGAAGCAGAGACTGGGCTGGGTCTCGAGTGGCCCAACTGAGTCCTCTCTGTCTCCTGTGTGCTCCCTTCCTCACCTGAATAAATTCATGTCTCTCTGGAGTCTTGAAGGCCTGCTTAAGGATGCAGCCACCATTGCCAAATCTCAGCACCCCGCCGGTTCATCATTTAACCCTAAGCAGATGCTTGAGGGCAAGAGCATGACACCTTGGTTCCCATCTAAAACAGCTGCTCTGCGAGACAAAAGCTAATTCCACGCTGAGTGTAGTGTGAGATCAGCCTCTGTGCAAAGACCAAAGAAATACAAGCAGGCAGCTAGGTATATGGCAGGGCCAGCACTACCAACTAAAGGAGAAACAATGGGCTGAATGCCATATATGTAGCTACTTGAATTAAGCCAAGGTGAAAAACCTTCGGTGCATGACTATAAGAAAACTTTCATTCATTTGCACTAGGAGTTAGGCCCATCACCGGCAGGGAACCTTGGTGCCCAGAACACTGGGTGCCAGTCCCAGTCACTTCACGGTGACGTTCCCAGGGAGGCACATGGGAGAAAAATAGAGGCCGAGAGGGCATTCCTGGGGGAAGACTCTCCTCCCCATGGAGATGGGGTGGGTGCGGCTCCACCCGCCATGGTGGCCAAAAGCCTCCCATGGAGGGAGGAGGACTCCGGGCCACCTTGGGGCTAAAGAGCCTGCCAGGTGGGCAAGTTCTCCCCTCGCCTTTAGTTGGTGACAGAGCGCCGGTCTGTGGAGAAGACCCATTTGTCGACGAGGTGTGGATTCTTCCACGTGGAACAGCACCTGGGGACAGCACCTCAGAGTGAGACAAGACAGAGGGAGGACTCACTCAAACTTGATGTCACCCCCAAATTCAAGAAACAAACACAGGGCAGAGTTTGAATGATTCAGTCTGAGAATCAAAACAGCCTCTGAATGAACACATACTTCAAAAGGCACAAGGCAAAAAAAAAAAAAAAAGTCATTTAGGAGTGACCCTGTGTCATTGCTAAGTTGACAGACTTACAAATAAACATGGGCAAGGTGATCACCTTGTCTCCTTTTACAAGACAGACCTCACTCGGTAAAAATATACACTGACGTATTATGTGCACATCAACCTCAATAATAAAACATACACGCGCCATCACAGTCCTACACATAATTTATGGTATTCAGAACATCACTTTATAAACTGTTGCCAAATTACCACTTAAACACTAATATCCAAATACAGAATTTAGAAAATTATTTTAAATTTTAACTCTACCATCCCCCCGAGCTCTCGGCTATGAATTTAGTCTGGGAAGAGGGCTCCGTAATAGGCCACTGAGGTCCTCTGTCCCACCACATCATCCTCCCCCGAAAACTAGCTGCCCGACTGCTCTACCAGACTTGGGCTAGAATTTGGCTTCACGGTGGCAATGGGACCACCTGGGCCCTACAGTGTGGCAAAATCAACTTGCCCACAAACCCCATCCCAGGTGCTGGGATGCTAACACACTGAAGCTGAAAGACCACACTTGGTTTTGCCACAGATCAAGCTGCATCTGACTAGACAGCCTGTTCTCTACCCTATTTCCTGCAGAAGTCTTTTTCTTTGTAATGCAACAAGTGCTACACAGCTCAGATCCAACGGGACACGGGGAAAGAGGCTGTAGTGCACCTAGCCCTGCTGAGGGAGACCCTTGCCTTGCCAAAGCACTTTGCTCACAAAGGCAGTTTCAAAGAGTATAGCCCGAACTCATTCCTGGTAAAACAAAAGGAAAACATTTTTGATAAATGTACCCAAAAGTCTCAAAAGGGCTACGCTGGTCTTCTGAACGGAAACCAAATGAGGTCTCCCCAGGCTCATGTCATGAGTCTCAGGGAAGGTGTGTCCTAGACCGTGGCCTTGGGCCTGCCCAGGCCGAGGCTGCCGTCACTGCAGATCCTGCAGGTTGATAGTGCTTCCTGGGAACTGGGTGGCCTCCGGTCCAGCAGGGCCTCCAGATGAGGGGAGCACCTCCTGCAAAACCAAGCATTGTCATGAAGAGGGAGGAGGGAGGGGAGGCAGAGGGATCCTGTGGCTCCACACAGCAGGACACTGACCAGGCCCGTGGTGAGATACCTGACTTCTCTTACTCAAAACTACAGGCTCCCCTTATTCTAAACACATGTTCTTTGATGAAAAATGAACTCAATACTGTACTGTAAATTTTTCAAGATTGTTCTGTCTGCACATTGACGTATACCCTCACATGTTCATATACCCATATGCCTTTTTACAGAAACAAAATCATCTTTACTTCTGCAACCCTTTCTCCGCACTTCTCACGCGGTGAGCACTCTCCCAGGTATTAGGTGTCCGTCCGCCTGTGCCCTCACAGCTGACCAGGATGTGGCCCAGGGCTATGGAGGCCCCATCTAGCCTGTCTCCTCCTGCTACAAGAAGTGTTCCTGCTGTTGCACCATTTGACTCCGGGCTACGGTGATTATGTCACTACCTTATTTTTTCAGGAGCAGTCCCAGGAGGGGGCTGCCAGGCAGGATGGAGCAGACACTTCTGAAGTTCTCTGATCCATGCTGCCAAACCGCCCTCCAGCTCACCCCTCTGCAGCCTGGGTGCCCGGCCCTCTGCTCCCACCAGTGCTTCTGTCCAAGTTTGGTTTTGATTGCGAGGGAAATGCTGAATAGCCCAATTTGAATGCAAAAAAACTAAAACACAATTTGCATGGCTTATTGTAAATATATAAACACGTAAGGCAAACTGTTAGAAATGTGATAAGCTATACGCTTTCGCTATTTCATATCAAACTCTGAATCATTCACTGCCACCCATCCTTAGCTTAACCACGTAAGCAAACTACTGAATTCATCCGAGTCTATTCTCCCACAGGCTGGGCCCTGGCCAGCCCTCTTCCCAGAGAATTAACTGGAATTCCTAGGCACAACACTTTCAAGAGCATATTAACTTCTCCTGCTTTGTCTACCAGCAGGAGCTGCAGCGTCCTGCAGATCTGAGCTCCACTCACCCACCTTCTCCAGAAGGCAGCAAGACATCCTGGCAACCAACCCACTGAGCCTCCCAAGCCACGCGGCCTCAGTGACCAGCCTGCAGCTGTGAAGCCAGGCTTCTGGAAGTCGAAGGCTCTGCGAGTCTCAATAAGAAAAACAAAGGGCAGTAAGGCATCCAGACCTGGAGGACGTAGACGGGCAGGTCCACAGTGAGGAAGGGGAGGAAGGTGGCTGGGCCGCGGGCCGAGGGCAGGACACCTTCGCCGGAGGGGTCATCCTGGGAAGGCAACACAGAAAGGCCTGTCACATGTCTGTGAGAGTGCAGCAAAGGTCCTCGTCTCACCTGAGAAGTCTCCTCCAGCTGCAATGCGTGGCAGAACCAGCCCACCCCCTGTATTCCAAGGGAGGCCCGAGGACCCAGCAGGAATTGTTTATGGGGGCTGGGTACTACCTGTTCCCACCTGGTTCTCATTCTGTCACCTTGATCCCAGCAGCTTTTGCTGGGCCTGGAACCTTCTGCTCTCCAGCTCCTCCCCTCAGTCAGCCCAAATACTGATTTCCCTCCTAAGGCACGCTCCTCAACTCCTTGCAGGTGCCCTGGCACGCCCTGTACCCCCACCAACCTTGTGTACCCAGAGTGCTCTCCAGCAAATCCTCGGGCCCCACAGAGGGCCTTCCCTGCATGCCCCAGCTTGCCTACGGGCCAGCTGGAAGGACCAGGGCAGGTAGAGGGGCTCCTGAGAGGGGAGGCTGCCAGGCCCCTCACAGTCCAGGCTAGAAACTTCATCTGTCCCACACTTCGCCTGTCCTGCACCTGCATGTCCGCCCATGGCCATTCACACCCCGAAGCGGAGCTCCTGGTGCTGCTGCTCTGCACCTCTCATTCCTTCTGTTTGAGAAGCTCCTGTGTGTCAAGGTCTGCACTACTGTTCCCATTTCATAGATGACAAAACTGAGGCCCGGAGTGCTTAAGTAACCAAGACTACGCTAGCTGGTAAGGGACAGAAAAAGAACTCAAACCCAGGTTTAATCAGGCATCTCTTAAAAGTATACCCCCTACTTGCTCCTGTTCTGCCGGTGGCACCAGCTTCCCTACCGTCTCCCTATTGCCAAGCCTCTGGTCCTGACTCTGTACCTCTGCCCTGCCAGCTGAGGCAGTGTTTCCTTGGATGGTCCTCCCCCTCCCCCTGCCCCTGCTCCTGGGGAGTTCTTACCTCTTCAGAAGCTGGAAACAAAGGACCAGTGCTCCTGCCCCTCTCTAAGACAAGCTTCAGCCCCCATCTGACGCTCACCGCTAGCTTCCAACCAGCACAGGGCCACCCCCAGCTGCCCGCAGCCTCTTCCCTGCCCCCTTCCCAGCCCACCTCTGCCCAGGCTGCCCCTCCTCTTGCCTCTCTGAGCCCCAGGCCTGGTCCTGTTTCCTTGGCGAGACTCTCCCAGGACTCTGAACCCACAAACGTGCCTGTTTCCCAACTCAGAGCCAGCGTCACCTCCACCCTCCGCACTTCCGTGGGGCCTGCAACCGCATCCCCTGCCACAGGGAATCTACAAAGTGGAGTGGTGAAGAGGGGCACACACCTGGGCCAAACCCAGACAGCCCCGGCTTGTATATCTCTTCTCTCCCCAAATCCTTCCAAATCATCTTCCCTCCCCATTCCAGCCCCTCAAACTGAGACTGAAGATGCAGGTGTGCTCAGGGCTGCTGAAGCAGGTGTGCTCAAAGACCTCCTGGAAACTGGCCACAGCTGCAGGTATCTGTGGCCCGGACAGGCTGGGAGGGGCCTGGGCCTGCCCTGGAGGGGCTCTGTTTCGTAGGAAAGAAAATAGAAAAACACTGAAAAGACCCCCACCACCTTCAGCATAGAAAGGCTGCTAGTGCGCCACAAGCAGGCCGCCCTAGAAATGGGGTGGCTGAGACGGCCTGCGGAGCCCTTTTGCCCCAGCCCTGCAGAAGAAGGGCAGGGTGGCCTCAAACAGATCTCATCCTGCTGCAAAACAGCCCTGGGGGCCTCGGGCAGGGAGGCGGGCTACTCTGGGGCTAGACGCAGGGCTGTGCACAGACAGGTTCAGGAAGTGGATGCACGGTCCCAGCAACACTCAGAGCTTGAGCAGATGCAGGACAGGCTGGGAAAAAGGGAGGAGCTGGGCTGTGAGGAGACAGGACTTGGGGCAGTCTACAGGGGAGGATGCACGAGGGGCAGGCAGGCAGGGGGTGCTGCGATGGGCAGGGGATGCAGCATGCCGCACACTGCTCAGACCTGCGTGACCCTCCCACCCCGCCTACAGCTGGCCTGTGTGACTGGCCAGCTCTCACCTGCACCAGCTGGACCTGGACGCCCTGCGCCCCGCACTGCACCCCAGCTGCTGGAGCTGGTCCTGGCCGTCCTCCGCTGGGCACCACGAGGCTCCCACACAACCAACTGTTCTGGCTTGCATGGAAATGGGGAGGACTCATTTTGCCTTCTTTTATTTTTCTCTGAGTAGACTGTGAGGCTCCTAAAATGAAATATAAAAACGAGCACACCCAATCTACAATCTACCAGTCAGGTCTGCCCTTACCAAGGTCTCACTATGGGGAAGACAGCCTTCCCATTAATTGTCATTCTGCACAGCTAAGAGACGTAAAATCACTTAACAGAAAAAATCAAGAGTTAAGAGGTTGAAACAAACAACCATACGAACAAAAAAACATCAGGATTTTGATTTTAAAAATGTAAAAACATCATACGTATTTTTTTGCCAGACGGTACGGTAATCAGACACAAGCTGCAAATTCTTGGAGAGCAGAATCCTCTAACTCCAGCAGCTGCTGGCTGGCAGGAATCCCAAGCGCAACTGAGGACAGCCAACAGCCCAGAGCCACAGCATCATGGAATAGGAAGGAAGCGGGCGGTCTCCATACCCCACCTGTGGGTGGACTGCTGCCTCTGTCCAGCTCCTTTCCAAGTCACTACTCCATGGGTTTTACAAATATGTGCTTCTTAAGAAATGAAGTAAAGCACAAAGAAAAAAGAAAAAATCTTAACACCCATAACAAACCCAAGAGCTGCTTCAAAAGGGCCCAAAGGTAGCCTAGAGCGTGCACTGCAGAGACCCCGGCTAGGCTCACCCTGACCCGCCACCCACTCTGCTCCAGGGATCTGGAAAAGGAACTCAAGCTCTGGGCCTCAGCATTATCTACCTGTAAAATGGGAATGCTAGTCCCAACCTCGGAAGGTTTTGGAGAGGATTTCATAGGAAATATGTGATCAAAACTTAGAACAGTGACTGGCGAGTGCCAAGGAGTTTAGGCACTGTCACTGCTCTGCCCACACATCCCTGCCTGGATGTGTGGGATCCAGCTATGAACGGCTTCAAAAAAACAACTGTACAATGACTATCATATAAGTTATTCCTAATAAAAGTATTCAATTGGGTGACCCTGCTGCCCAAGGCAGGCTGTTTTTACGAGGCTGTTTGACAGGAAGGTTCTGAGCAGCCCATGGGGTGAGAGCTGACTTGCCCTGCATATGCTGTCTCCCTGACCTGCTCACCTCACTCCAGATCCCTTCCTGTCTTCCGCAGTGCCCTGGGTCCCGGAGAGCTTCACACTCAGCAGGCAAGCCAACTGGGTGCACAAACCTTGGGTCCTCTGTACTTAGGCACAGCCTGCTGTCTTTTCTGGGTGCCTCAGGGCTCTTTTTCTTTGAAGTGCAAATGCTAACCAGGAGGTTTCTGGGTAACACAGATTCAGTTCCCCCTCACTGCAGGGAGATGCACTTCCATTACAAAATACTTCCTTTCTGTTCATCCATCAGTGTTCCAGAAAACCCAGCAACCCTCGCTCTGGATCATCTCTGACTGTTCTCCACGCCTGGTTTCTCTTTTTCTAATTGCTCTACTTGCTTCAGACAGAAGAGCAGGGCTGGGTCTGGGGCAAGAGAGGTGCCTGGGGCACAAAACTTACTCACCCCTCCTTGAGGAAACTTCACATCAGTTCCTAGTACTGCAGTCTATTAAGTCTGCAATAACATTATGTCTAAAACAATGCATACCTTAATTTAAAAATACTTTATTGCTAACAAATACCGACATAGACATGAAGTGAGAACATGCTGTTGGAAAAATGGTGCCAACAGACTTGCTGGATACAGGTTTGCCACAAACCTTCAATTTGTAAAAAGCAAAAAAAAAGTCAACTGCAAAAAATGAAGCGTGCCTATATCCTCCGTGAGCTTGTATACTATCCCACTTACCTCCAGAATTTTACCTGAATGCATTTCTATGCTTTCAAGTCTTTTATCACCCTAGCATATAAAAATATGTACATAAACTTAACTTTTATTTAACTTCTAGGCATTAACATTTTTGGTTTGAACTGTTACAACTGCAATTATTAGTAATGCAAAACAAATCAAAACAAAATATATCAGAAACTTTGATAGATAATTATGATATTAAAAGCAAAATTATATTAAAAATGCTTTTCAAGAGGAGTGGGACTGACTGGTGGTTTTCTTCCCCAGTTAGTTCATGTATTTGTGTCTAAATATTACTTCTTGCTAGAATTAGACATGGTCAGCATCTATTCTTGTCAATTAAAAACTTTTTTAAAATAAGATGCTCATGTGTCATCACAACTTTGCAGCTGCAGGTTGAGTTTATTCAAGTGAGGGGGAACTGCCTGCCCACGAAGCCCCAGCAGCAGGGCCGGTGCTGCAGCCAGAACAGTCGCATTACGCTTGCTTTCTAATAAAAGGCCTGGCTTCATTTTTAAATTCAAATAAAAATACTGAAACATGTTATTATATTAGAAATATTGGCCGGGCGCAGTGGCTCACGCCTGTAATCCCAGCGCTTTGGGAGGCCAAGGCGGGCAGATTACAAGGTCAGGAGATCGAGACCATCCTGGCTAACACGGTGAAACCTCGTCTCTACTAAAAATACAAAAAATTAGCCAGTGGTGGTGGCGGGTGCCTGTAGTCCCAGCTACTCGGGAGGCTGAGGCAGGAGAATGGCATGAACCCAGGAGGCAGAGCTTGCAGTGAGCCGAGATCATGCCACTGCACTCCAGCCTGGGTGACAGAGCGAGACTCCCTCTCAAAAAAAAAAAATAATAATAATATGAAAACCACTGTAGAATAAATTAAGGCAGGCAGTGAATAGTGTATCTCTCCAGATTTCTTTTAAAAGCAGGCAAGATTTTAAATGATGTATATCAAGTATTTATTATCAAGTTTTATAACATAAACAAGATAAAACTGAGCCATTCATCATGATTCAATGCCAAATGTGTACGCCACGCTCTAAGTTACCTACAAAGCAAGAAATATGACTGAATCCTAATATTCCTTTGCAAAATGTGTGCTAGAATGTATGTGCCATTCGAATCATGGGAAAATCAGAATTGGGTGCAAAATCAGAAATAATTCCACTAATGTTGCTAGACATGGTTACACTTTCCTTTTATACCTAAACCAGTAACTAAAATGATTCTATCTTTATTAACAATTTACTTGTATTACTTTTACAACAGGAAAAAAGATAGGCTGTAACGAGAATATCTCATGACAAGCTAAATTGGTTTCAACTTCTGTATCAGCATACAATATGAAAAAAAATCACAGGAATTTCTTTTCAATCCGCACATTTAATTCAGTGTCTCAGGTAGTCCTGTAGACACCAGTTACACTGAGAAGAAACACCACCACTAATTTGCATCAGAAGGTATTTTTCTTCCCAGCTAACAACTCGTCTAGGGATAAAAAGTCAATAGCTGAAAAGAATTGCTCACGCTTATACATACATAGGGCTCATTCCTGAAAAGTAATACATTCTTTGACAACAGCAGAGGGCTGGCAAAGGTGAGGACTTTCTACGAGAGATGTCCATCCATGCCCCACATCCCCTCTCTGATGTACCTCAAGCAGAACATCTCAGCGTCCACCCCTAGACACATCTCTGCACAGGAAGGGTAAGCTGGCAAGCCCGGCTCATTAAAGTTTTAATGTCGGTATTATTCTACAGGATGCTTCCCTGAAACCAGTATTTGGAACTGCCCCTGGGTTTGGTGCTCTGGAAGGATATCCTGTTTTTGTGTGCACTCCAAGGCAACACACTGCAGTAGAAGTCTGGTGGAGAGTTGCAGCCTCCCCGTTTTTTGGCAAGCAGAAGGACAGCTGTGGGTGAGGGGGAGAACCTGCCACAGATGAGCTCGGACACCCCTTCTCAGAGAGTCCGTTCCAGCAAGGACTGCACCTGGAAGATGAACCTGGAAAGGATGCAGGGGTCCAGGCCAACAGCTGTGAGAGAACAGGGCAGCCAGGGGAGGAGGGGCCAAGCCCCAGTTGCTGAGTTGTCCCCCAGGCCTGAGCAGGGTGTTCTGTCCTAGAATCCCTGACGGTACACCCTGAAGTCTGGTGGTATGTCGTGAACATTTAAGATGGCTGAAAGTTAATCATAAACTTCCTGGGTTAACTAAGCAAGTATGTTTATCTAGGGATGCTTAAGGACATGCCAAAGCAAACAAATGGGGTCCACACCACGTCCTCACGATAACCATGAAGCCCTGGGTCCTCACTAGTAAAGGGCGCCATGGCATCAAATGCAATATGATCAATTTAATTAATAAAGCAGTCACAAGAAAAATCAAATTCCTCTCTCACAATGGACAACCACAAACCCTTATAGAACAAGGTAACAACACCGAACTACATTTTGCTTCAATATTTTCAATCATTATCCAAAATGCTTGCTTGTGCTGGAGAATCTGCAGGAGTGGGGAGAGGAGCAGTATAAATCCAACACCAAGCAACCTCCTGGGAAGCAAGGAAGGACTCCTTAAGGAAGAGTCCTATCTAGGTATGATGGTAAATAGCAAAGTGGTCAAGGGCCCCGGCTTGGGAGCTGGACGATCCAGCTATGTGACTCAGCTCCCATCATCTGCGGTGAATGGAGATGGCCACACTGCTTTCACCTCACCGTGCCATGACGAGAATTAGGTGAGGTCAACAGCACTGGGCCTGGCTCAAACAGCATGCCATCCCCACACCAGTAGCACCGCAGTGCCTGCCACAGGACAGAGTTCAGAGCCAGCCAGGTGCCCCGAGAAAGGATCTGCACAGATGAGGCTCAGGCCCCTCCCTTGATAACCACAGGGGGTCATGCGAGCTTCCTCTACTGAGATCCTCACTTGAACAGGAGGTAAGTGACTATTTTCCCAATTCTCCCAAGGGTGGAAGATCAGAGGTCACTGGGGCTTAACTCACTAGGTCCCTGACATGGTTAGTTCAACACAGCTCTTATAAAGATATAATATGTTAATATACTTATCCACAAGGAAAAATATTCATATTAAGAACAAAAAGCAGATAAAAATGTTTATCATTTTTCAAAAACAAGTCATTTGTGTAGGTTTCAGATTTCACATTTGTGTAGGTTTCATTCAGTTTAACACTGAAACACTGTAAGTAGTTTTTCTTGGGTGGTGAAGCTACAGGGGAGAAAGCATAAGGAACCCACAATGATCTCTTCCAGAGTAAACCCACATGACCAGCCCTGCCTGTGCTGAGTGCTCACCCTTTGCTTAGGGATGTGCTGCTCACACGACAGGTCCTTTGTTCTGCAGGGGCACTCTCTCCTCCAGGGCATCTGGCAGGCCCTGAGTACCCGACTGCCTCCTCCCATCTCACAGCCTTCATGGGTATTCTCACCAAGCTACCTTCCCAGATGAACTTAAAGTAGACAGGTGTTTAAGTTACTCTGGGATTTTACAGGAACTGAATAAAGTATGTAAGTGAACAAGAATTGGGCATCTCTAGCTGGCAGACCCTACACAGGACCTTACCCATTCAGAGCACACTTGTCATGAGTGAGCCTGGCATATTTTATTACTTTTACTGTCATTATGAATAAGGTCAGTTTTTCACAATTATTCTTATTGGAAAATCTATTAATTTTATATATACAAATATGTACTGTGCAATTAGCTATCTATTGATCCTTCTTATTTCTAATTGCTTGAGTTGATTCCCCTGGGTTTTCTAAGCCTGACAATGACTTTGTCATTAAGTAATCATCATTCTCTCCTTTCTATTTGATTCTGCTTCTTTAAAAATAGAGACTTCCATAAAAGTGTCAAATAGATTGCGCCAATGGTTTGGTTTACCATTCCTCCAGCTTTGGGGGGATGCCAACATCTCTCCACTGAAAATGCCACTGACAGCTGGCTGCTCTCTAGTATTAGGGAAATCTGGGTTCCTAGTTGATTCATATTTGTGATGTTTTCAAATCAGTAGCAGGTGATGAATGTCATCAACTGCCCTGTTCGGCCTCTGTGGACCCTGCACGTCTCTTGCGGCATTTGCTGTGGCAAATCATGCTGACAGGCTGCCTCGCCCCACATCACCCTCGCCCGCTGTCCATGTGCTGGTATTTCACTTGGGATTCCCATGCCTGCTTCACCTGCTGGAGGTGAGACACAGTGTTCCTGCATACCACGTGGCCAACAGGCTCAGTAACAGCTCTGAGGGCAGCCGGCCTTGGGTTCAATCCTGCCGCTGCCCCTGCCCCTACCAGCTATGCAGCCCTGGCTGAACTCTTCCTGCCTCAGCTTTCTCATCCAGAAAGGTGGGGACACGAGGACCTACACCTCACAGGATTGTTGCGAGGACTAATGGGGTAATAGATGTAGATGTGCTGGGCTTAGAACTGTGCAGGGCACACCGTATGTCTTCAATAGTTATCACACCTTTGTCAAGTTTTAGAACCAGGGTATGTTAGCTTTATACATTAAATTATTAGCTTTTATTTGAGGTCTGCGCAAGTTTCATCACCCATTCAACAAGTATGTACTGTATCTTCACCACATGGCAGGTGCTCGGCCAGATGGTGGCCCTGCACATGGAGCTTACAGCTGCTGGCTGGTGCGCTCAGTACAGCCGTGCATTTTGCAGCACACAGACAAACCCACAATAGATGAGCAACAAGGGGTGAGAAAGTACAGGGTACCCTGGGAGCCTCGAGAGGCCACTGACAGGACCCCAAAGTGTCTGTGACACAGACACCACCCTTGAGGAGCTAATCACAGAGGGGACCCTGCCTAGAACACTCTGGGCATTCCACACAGGCATCCCGGGCAGGCACCAGGGCATGGCACGGCCATGCACTAAGAAGCAAGCACCAGAGACCAGCACGTCGTGGGGCTGCCACCCCTAGGGCTGGAGGGACTAGGGAAGGTGTGGCGTCACCAGAGTCCAGAACAGGGACAGCGTATAGCAGAACTACAGCAGGGGCCACCCAGGAAGAACTGGGGCCACAGCCATGAGGGTAGACGGCCATCGCCATGAAACTCCCACGGAAGCAGAGCAAGTGAGGCCCTGCCTCGCTCCACACACCCTCTAATCTCCCCCTAATGTTCCCACTGCCAAACCTGGCTGGAAGCGCTGAGAGGAGCCTGGGTCAGTGTCTCCAAGAATGCGAGTCAGACAGCAACGGCCAGCATCCACACGGCAGGAGGTGCAGGAACTGCCTGGGGAGACGGGACGGGGCAGCACGCAGGCAGGGCAGGTCCACAGGCACGGCACATAGCACAGGGTATGGCATAGGGCAGCCAAGGCCAGCTCCGGAGGCCTCAGAAGAGTAAATGTAGCAGGACCCCATCCTAGAGGTCAGCAGCTCTGAAACCACATACACACAAAGCCCTGCCACTCTTTCTCTTACTTTGTTCTGACAAAATGTTGAATGTACAGAAGAAGATGTAATGAACAAAATATATGTTTAAAACTATTACCAAAGCTTTTACCTTTTTTTATTAAGAAATAAGGTCTCACTATGTTGCCCAGGCTGGACTTTAATTCCTGGGCTCAAGTGATCCTCCCGCCTCGGCCTCTCGAGTACCTGGAACTACAGGTGTGTGCCACCATGCCCAGCGTCTCTGAATCTTTTAGTCAGCCCTGGGCTAAGTATTTTGCAAAAACCCCTGTAGGTCCTCACAACCACCCTACAAAGCCAGGTCCCATCACTTTCCCCATTTCACAGAAGGGGATGCTAAAGCCAGAGGCTAGGCAACCTGCCCCAGGCTGCTGCAGGTGGAGCCACACCTCACCTGGCGGTCCTGACCCTACGACTGATGCTTTGAATGTCTCAGCAGGTTGGCTCTACAAATCATCGCTCTGGCTGTGTGTGGCAAAGTCAATTCCATTTCTTTGTTAAATAGAAGTTTCCTCCTCCCAAAGGCTGGAGACCTGCCACTGACGGCCAGGAGTCAAGGGACTTTCCACTGGGCTGCCAAGGCCGACCTTCACCCTCAATCACCTGACGGCAACATAGGGACGACCGAAAGGGGACACAGAATGAACTGGACCTGCAGAGGCCAGGTGTCTGCCATGCAGACTGAAAGGGAGCCGGGGCTGTGTGCTCCATGCAGGAAAGCAGAGTAAGAAACAAGAAAGGCGTCAAAGTTAACACAAACCAAAGTGACAGCAGGACGCTCTGTGGAGAAGGACCATGGCGCTCACTCATGCAGGTGCGGGAAACTCGGCTCACAGCCCATTCTCCAGCACTGGGGTCACACCCACTTCTGCAGCAGGAAGTTCACTGCCACCAAGCACCTTTCTACCTTTCCCTGAGACAGTCATCAAAACCAAAGCTTTACTCACAGGACTAAAGGAGCCCAGGCCCCTCTAGGAAGTGATGTCCAGAGTCTGCAAGGGGTCTGAGACCCTCACAGGAAGTGTACAACAGGAAAGGCCCCTCCACAGCTGCTCACAGGCAACTGCACCTTGCTCACCCTTTACCTGCCAGGGCTCCAACCTTGGATGCGTAAGGGTCAGTGGTGTGGAGGGAGCCACGAGGGACTGCTGGGCAAAATTCTCCTGCCCCTAAAGAAAACACAAGAGCAGACAGCTCCCACTTCGGCAAGTCTGCAATCTGCTTTCCTCCCCGGCTTAGAGATCCACGCACCCTCCCCTGTTAGAGGCCACATCTGCCCCAGGGGTGTACACGGGGCCCACAGGGTATGACAAAGCCCCTGCATCCTCAAAGATGCCCTCATCCAAATCCAAACCCACCTGGGCACCTCATGACACATGTGGCACAGGAGCCACATGCATGTGACTAGAAATCTCTTCCAGAACGAGGAATAAATGGGGGTGCACCTCCGGACTGACCGCCCCTGCTGACCCAGGGCCCCTACCCGCATCTCCCTTCCTGCTGCTCTCCCTGGAGGGTGGTCCCTTCTGCTTTCATCATGGCAGCAACAGGAAGAAAGGGGAGAAAACTTGGACCAGGTGTGCAAAGATTTTTGTTTTAAAGTGAAACAGATTATAAAAATTACATCACTGACTTAATTTCAAGGCTCCATCCAACCTGATCACCCATTGGAACACTCCAGTGTGTGTGTGCCTGAGCTGCAGTGCCAGCACAGCCACCTCACCCTCTGCCCATAGGGGCCCACTCCCTAGGCTGGGACCAGCAAGCCAGGGCGACACCAGGCTCAGGGGGTCCCGGGGTGGCCACAACAGTGCTCCAGCCACAGGGAGGTAGGCACACACTTAACCTGCCTCATCACTCTAGCTCTCGTCCCCACTGTCCCATGGAAAGGAAAGGGACTCAAGGCCACTCCTCATCACCACCTGAGTCCCTCAGGCCCACCAGGCCACCCCAGGAGGAACAGTGCTCTATTGCTCACCATTTTGATGGTAGCTCCATCTTCATGTTTTAATTACACAAAGTATTTTCCAATAGAAAAAGTAGAAATGATCATAATAAAACATTCACAATCTTAACACTCAGGAAAACACCACTTCATGCATGCATATGTGTACTACTGCTTGTTTCCAGGTAAATGTACACAAAAATTTGTCTCTCAACACACCCACTTTTTCTTACAAATATGAACTTACTGAAAACATGCACAGAGTGTACAGTTCTTCTGGACATTTGAGTTACAAATATTATAAACAGTCCCGCACTGAGCAGCAGCAGCATGTGCAGCTTCACACAGATCCCTGGGATTTCCTTGAGATAAATTCAAAAAATGTAATTGTAAGACTGAATATTATGCATATTTTTTGGCTCCTGAACACATTACCAAATGACCCTCCAAAAACATCACAGAGTGTCCCCAGTGAAGCTCTCCTGAGAAAGCACAAGGACGCGCTGTGTGCACCAAGGCCGGCACTGGGCTCCTGTCACCTGGGAAGGCCTAGCCGACCTGGCCCTCAGTCAGATCTACCAATGTCCTTGTGAGCACCAACCGGCTGTGTCTCGCTCGTTGCCATCCTCCTCATGACCTTCTGCACCATGATCTCACGCTGTTACTGGTGATCTGGAAAGCTCTCTGTGCGGACGTGTCTCTGTGGCTGTGCCTCTGCTGATACACTCTGGGAAATGATTTAACCTTGGGGCCTCAGTGGCACCCGTGCAGGAAGGGTTGATGGCAGGTCTCCACCTCATAGGGTTTTTGTGAGGCGTGAACAGAGTTACTGCATGTGAAGGACACACGACAAAAAGAACAAGGGCAGGCTGCCCCCACAGCTCTTCATGCCTTAGAAAAACCTTTAACCTCTCATCTTCATTCTTTATTCTGTATGGAATTCTAATATTTTTTTTTCCCTAAAAGGCCAGCATTCACCTGTCAATAACTGGAAATGCCATCTTTTCCACACGCAAAGATGACCAGGTCCCAGGTCGGTGCCCAGTGCGCTGGATCCTGGGCTCCTGGCTCTGCCACGCAGCCCCAGCACCAGAACATGCTTTCAGCTGCCACAGCCTTGCGTGAAGTCTTAGCTACAGTGCAAATCCTCTATGTCATTTTCCGTTTTCTTAGACGTTCTTGTCCATAGCTTCTTACACAATTGTCCTGGAACCTGCTTGGACTTCTGCATGAAATCGCACTACAATGCTGTGGGAAGAGTGAGAGGCTTCTCTTTCCTTCATCCCACGTCTGTCAGCCAAGCCTGTGGGCTCTGCCATCGAGACAGGTGCAGGAGCCGAGCACTCCTCCCCACTGCTGTTGCCACTCTCGTTCCTAACAGGTGAGCACACAGGCTTCCAACTGCTCTCCCTGAAACCTCCCATCCATTTTGTAAATCAAATACAGGATTTGTTGAGAGAATAATAAAGTTATTCACCGATCTATTATTGAGATAATGCAATTAACAGATTTCGTAACATTAAATCATTCTCAAGCTATCTGATTAAGCTCCATTTGGTCAGAATAGTACATTAAATATATATATTGCCAGATCCTAAGTGTGTTTTATTTAGAACATTTCCATCTATCTTCGTAAGAGTCACCAATCTGCAGTTTTTCTTTTTTTTTTTTTTGAGACAAGGGTCTTACTGTCACCCAGGCTAGAGTGCAGTGGCAGATCCTAGCTCACGACAACCTCCATCTCCTGGGCTCAAGCGATTCTTCCGCCTCAGTCTCCCCAGTAATTGGGACCACAGGTGTGCACCACCACGCGTGGCTAATTATTATTTTTTTTACAGATGGGGGTCTTACCACGTTGCCCAGGCTGGTCTTGAACTCCTGGCCTCAAGCAATACTCCCACCTCAGCCTCCCACAGTGCTGGGATTACAGCTCTCTTTCTGAGAGATACCCTTGTCAGATTTTTCATGGGAAGCTTCTGTTTTCCACAGAGCTTTGGAGCAGCATTTACTGCACAAATTCCACAAAGGGGGAGAACTGAGGAACTATTCATATTCTTATTTCTGAATGATTACTTGTTTTCCTAGAAAACTCTGCATTTTGTTGCAAGTATTCTAACTTATTATCATACAGTTAACATGATATCTGTTTATCTCTAGGTATTCCAAAGAATTTGTGGAATTTACTTAATGCTTTTTTTAATTGCTCAGACAGAAAAGGAAAATGAGGGCCTAGGGGCCATATCCCCTTAAGGATATGTTTTCTTTGGCCCATACCAAAAGTTTTTCTAAATCTGAATAAGCTGTCACATTTAAGCATCAAAATCTGGATTTGACTCTGTTCTGATAGGAAGACATCTGAGGCACAAACTTGCATTTAGTTTTGGCTACATCCCTTGTGTTCCATATACAGTAATACATAATAGTTGGCTTACACATCAAGTGTTTCTAAGACCCTCACATGTAATCCACAAGAATCCCAAGTGCAGCGTGCTTCTATTACCATTTCACAAAGGAGAAAGCTGAACGTGCAGGGAAGTCACTGGCTCAAGAGCTCAAACTTATAAACACATGGCCTATCCATTTTCCTGTATTTGTAATTAGCTTTTATTTTTTTTCTTTTTTTTTGGCGAAGGAGTTTCGCTCTTGTTGCCCAGGCTGCAGTGCAATGGTGCGATCTTGGCTCACTGCAACCTCTGCCTCCCGGGTTCAAGCGATTCTCCTGCCTCAGCCTCCTGAGTAGCTGAGCTGGGATTACAGGCATGAGCCACCGCGCCCAGCCTCGCTTTTATTTCTTCTTTCACCTGATTGTCTAGAGGTTTTGTTTTCCAAGTAATTTTTACTAATTTAACATATTATGATCAGAAAACATAGTACTGCCTATACATGTATATATATATGTGTACATATAGGCATATATATATATAAGCAGTACTATATATTATGTATATATATAGGTAGTACTACACATATATATATATATTTTTTTTTTTGGTAAAGACTTTTGTATAGTTTTCCTGATGCCCTAATTTGTTCCATTTAATTTCTATAAATATTCAAAGGACATGGAATAGGATCTGTTAAATCAACTTTATTAATCCCATTTTAAATATCTTTCATATGCTTATTTTTCTGCTTGATCAGCAAATAATGAACTAATCACTTTCAAACTGCTAGTTTCTATACATTCAATTATCTGAGATTTCTATTGGCTTTTACATTGTTTGATATTATACGTTTTCAAATAAATATTCATATAAATGTCTATAGGTCTTATAGTTCTGTTGTAGGCTACACATGAACAGCAACCAAAAAGAGGAAAAATCTTCTTTGTCCCCATGCTTTTTCCTTGAATTCTGCACTTTTCATATTAACATTAGCCCTTGCTTTGTGATTTGCCTTTGCTTTATTTTACCCTGTCTTAATCTTAACCTTCCCAAATATTTCCATACAGGGTGCACCTCTCCTAGACAACACACAGCGGAGAGTGTGCTTCCCATGTATTCAATCTTCGTCTCTTGAAAGGAGAGGTGCCCTCATTACACTTCACTGTGACACAGGATACCCTTGGTTTTCTGTCACAATGTGTCTTGCTGCTGTCTCCTCTGATAAGCACCACACTTTCTTTCCCTTCTCTGCCCTTAGACAGCAGAAAGGTATACATACCCATTTATAGTTCTGAAGCTGTTCACGTTTTTAAGCTTAACTTTGCTATTCATTTCAAGAATAAAACTTGACATTTTTACACTGAGAGAAAAATTCTTGTTTTATTCTAAGGGGAGAATCTCAATACTCAAGATAAAGAAATTCACACATTTTATTTTCTACACTCAACAGCAACACAATGGGAAGAGTCTTGGATTTCAAATGCTATTGCTCAGACTGTACATTTCCTAAGAACTGACGTGTGCACTGGCTCCTAACCACATGCACAACAGCGAAGTCTTGACTGTTTCTAAATGACCCGATTCCATTAACAGTCCTGTTACACTGCAACTGCTGTTCTTGGACTTATTACAGGTCCATAGTCTCTCAATCACAAATGTTGAAACCAAAAAATCCCAAACCCAATTTTTTTTCCCTAAACTTAATGCCAAAAGTAATTTAGCAACATAACTGACCTGAACTGATGTAAAGCTATTTACAGTCTCATTTGATCCCACTTAGATATATTTTGCTGAAAAGTACCAATGTAGTAACTAGTGGTATTAATAATATATGTACCATATTATCTAAAATTTGAAATAGCCTGAATCCAAAGCACAGCGTGGGTTAACATACATAAATACTAGCACTGACCACTGAAACCCTAGTATAACAAAACCCCAGTAACAATAAGTCCACCGAGTGTCTGCATGTTGGATTCTATATACCATCCTCTAACAAAAGAAACCAGGGCTCTCTGGAGGAGGAGTCGATTCCAGGGCAGGGACAGGGATAATACAAGAGCCTGGTGGTGCTAGGAAGGAAGGAAGTGCTCAAAACAAAAAGCCAGGATGGAGAATGTTGATGGGGCACAAGAATCCAACTGAAGGATTGGCCACAGCTGGAAGAACTGGAGCAACAAAATAAATGGTGATAATATTGATCATAATCCAATACTGACTACAGCCCAAAGAATCAATATCGTTGAGGCCGGGCATGGTGGCTCACGCCTGTAATCCCAGCACTTTGGGAGGCCGAGGCGGGCGGATCACAAGGTCAGGAGATGGAGACCATCCTGGCTAATACGGTGAAACCCCCGTCTCTACTAAAAATACAAAAAAAAAAAATTAGCTGGGCACGGCAGCGCCTGTAGTCCCAGCTACTCGGGAGGCTGAGGCAGGAGAATGGCGTGAACCTGGGAGGCGGAGCTTGCAGTGAGCCGAGATCGCGCCACTGCTCTCCAGCCGGGGCGACAGAGCAAGACTCCATCTCAAAAAAAAACAAAAAAAAAAGAATCAGTATCATTGAATCCATACTGCGAATAAGTAAATGAGGGAGAAGAGACAGCTCTTCCTTATAAAATTAATAAGTACACAAGAATAAGGGAAATGGAAAATCACCATTAAACCCCACAGGCAAAAAGCCCCTGCTGAGTGTTACATGAGAGGAAAGCTTAAAGAGAAACAGGGCACTTGCAGTGCAAGGCAAAGGGTTAACCCTGCCAGAGAGGCCTCGCCTCTGCCCCCAGCTCCTGGGAGATCTCTAGACCCTTGGAAAGTCCTGCCTGGTAAGAATGTCTGTCTAACTGGGTGCCCTGGGCCACTTCCACAGTCTGTGCTAACCCTGTGGTGGAGGCCTCGGGCACACAGCGCCAGCTCAGCCTCTGGAGGGCTGGAGACTAAGGCCAGCCAATCCACACAACTGAGACCCAACAAAACTCCAGACAGTGAGTCTCAGGTGGGCTTCCCTGGGGGGCAATGGTCTCTGGGTGCTGTCACATGCTGGGAGAAGTTGGCACTGTTCACACCTCCATGAGAGGACACTTGAAGCGTCACACTAGGAACTCTCATGGGCCCTGCCTTGCCTGGGCCCCTTTTCCCTCAGCTGGCTTTAATCTGTGTCCTTTTGCTGCAATAAGCCTTAGCCGTGAGTACAACAGCTATCAGTGAGCTCCATGAGTCCTTCTAGAGAATTACCTAAGGGTGGTCTTGAGGACCCCCAAGCTTGCAGTTGCTATTAGAAGTGAAGGTGGTCTTAGGGACCCCCAAGCCCCACATACAGTCTCAAAGCATCTACTGCAAGATAGTTAATTACAAAGGGAAAAACAAGAAGTTGATGGTGAAGAAACCTAGCAGCTACCACCCTAACCAGTGATCCAGGTTACCACATCTGCCGTGTGGACAGCATGGCCCAGGGAGGATGTGTGGGGAGGGCACCTCACCCCCGTCTCCAGCAACCCAGCCCGGGTCTCATCTCCAGAAGACATCAGGCAGGCCCACAGGGAGGACGGTCCAGAGCGATAGGCCCATCCTCTTTGAAAGCATCATGACAAGGGAGGGCCAAGGCCCTCAACCAGACCAGAGGAGACGGGGAGGGGTGACAATTAAATGCACATGGAACCTGGAACAGGGAAGGGCACTGGGGGAGTCTGGTCACATTCACATCAAGTCTGCCATTCAGCTGCCAGGACTGCGGCCACAGGGGACTCTCAGCTGTGATAAATGCAGCATGAGTATGCAGGATGCTGCTTTGAGGGGAGGCGGGCAAAGGCATCCCCGCCAGAGGATGCAACACTGTGACAAGACACACAGAGGAGCGCTGTGCAGGAATATGTGTCTAAAACCACAGCAGACCCATGGGCGCGGGAAGACACCAGTGCCCTGCATGTTTTGGAAAAGAGACGGTGGCCTTCCTGCACTGGCTGAGGCACCTGGAGGGGCTTTTCAAGGATGTGGGTGGCACTGACAGCAGCCTCACCCTCACGAGGACATTCTCCTGCTGCACTCACACACGGAGACCTAGCAGGTACCAGGTTTCCATTTCCCTTAGAAGTGTATGAAGTATTTAAACCAATGAGTGCATTAAAATACTCTGACCATCACTGCAGGATGCTAAGAAACTCACACAGATTCAAACATCATGAACTGCACCTCAGGGTAAAAAAACGAGAAGCTGCGCTTTATAGACATGTCCCAGCTATAAGTAAGAAAGGAATGACAGATTTAGAGTACCACCGTTTAGAGTAACCCCTAAGAAATGAGTGGATCCAGTATCTGGTCACAATGGTTGCCACCAGAGGCTGGGGGTCTCCTGCAAGAGCCCACTCCCACCTGCAGCGGAGTTTTACCAACCAACCAGATCTAACCACTAAACGTAACTACTAATTTTCAGGAAAAGAAAAAAAACGAAGGAACCTATTAAAACAGTGATGTGATCATTAAGGTCCAGACTGGCACACTCGAAAGAACAATCAGTTTCTTCAACAAAAACCAGGCAAGACCTAGCAGAGAACCCTACAGCTGTCAAACAGTCAAGAGATGATGTATCAACCAGTAGTGACATATGAACCCCACTGGATTCTGATTCCAACAGACAGTTACATAAAATATTTGAGGCATCTGGGACAACTGAAAATTTGAACATTTGCTAGATACTGACATTAAGAAAATACTGTTAATTTTTAAAGAAGTGGCAACATTAGATGGCTATAATTTTTTTTAATGTCCTTACTTTTTTTTTTTTTTTTTGAAATGGAGTCTCACTCTGTCACCCAGGCTGGAGCACAGTGGCACAATCTCGGCTCACTGCAACCTCTGCCTCCTGGGTTCAAGCGATTCTCCTGCCTCAGCCTCCCAAGTAGCTAGGATTACAGACACGTGCCACCACGCCTGGCTAATTTTTTTGTGTTTTAGTAGAAACAGTGTTTCACCATGTTGGCCAGGCTGGTCTCGAACTCCTGACCTCAGGTGATCCACCCACCTCGGCCTCCCAAAGTGCTGGGATTACAGGTATGAGCCACCGCACCTGGCCAATGTCCTTACTTTTTAAAGATAATGCTGAAATATTTACAAAAACAGTAATGAAAACATCAAACCTCCTTTATAGATAGTACTCCAAAGCAATGTAATAAATAGGACACGTGTTATATACTTGAATGTTTGTCTCTTTTTTCTTCAAGATTATCTACCAGGTTCAATAAAGGCATCCGCTTTCCTTCATGAACTTTCCTTGGTATATGGTCAACTCTTTCTACAAATTTCACCACCACACTTCCTTCTATTATCTCTGCAAGTTCCATTCTGGTACTTTGTGAACTGTTGAGGTGTCCCTTCCTAAGTCACAATTCACACTGATGCATACACTATAGTGAAACACTGGCTTTAAGAAAACTGATTAACAGAAAACCGGCAATTGTTATTTATTTTAAATAAGAAGTCATAATACTATTAGGAATAGAGAGCAAGATATAAAATCATATCAACCCTTTTAGATAAATACAAAGGACAAATGAAATACACAAAAAACAATATATTTTAAAAATCCACTGTTAGTTTTTAGAAAAAGATTTAGCAGTTTCCATTAAGCACTACATCCCACTATTCCATTTTTAGGAAGGACAGATGCTTGAGGCCATAGGTTACCAGCTCTTGTTTGGTCTTTAAAAATGCAAGTAAGTTGCTAACATTTTCAAATAAGATTTCAACATAACTCTGACAATGCCACAGGACACACAGTTTGGCTCCATGTACACGTACCTGGGGACAGTGGCAGTCCCCAGGTCTCTGCCATGCCAAGATCAGGCCCCAAGGCCATTCAGCACCAGGCACAATCTCTGCTTTCCTGACAACTGGCCTGCTTTGCTTATTTACCTTAGTAGCCTTCCAGGTAACTGACACTGGTGTTTGAACGCTTAACTTTCACAAAGCTTGTTTAGGCAAATAAAATATGTTCATACTGATGCTGGGAATTTTGTTACTAATTTTTTCCCTTAAGTTCAAATAAAACTAAGGAGTTGATAAAAGGGTATTCTGAACAGAAAAGTAAAACCAAGAGCACAGAAACACCTGCTGTGTTTCTTCTGCCAGTAACAGTGACAGAGAACCCTCAGGCCCTTGCTCGTCCGGCTGCAGCACACACGGCCTCACCTGCATTGCTCCCCGCTCCTCTCTGCTTTTTTTCCTTGGCTAGTTGAATGGCTCGGTAATCAGTTCTTGCTGAGCCCCCACTTTCCTGAGACCAAAGAAAAGCATGTCAGTCACTTATCTAGACACAAAGGAAGGGTAGCAAGGGAGCTACAGAAGTGCCATAAGCCTGCTTCTGGGACATATCCGAGCTCCCAAAACCAGAGTCACCAGCAAGGCACACAAAGGGCCAAACGCTACATCCACTTGTGGCGAGGGCCGAACAAACTTGGAGCTGGAACAATGTATGTGACTTTCTTATCCAGAGAAGCAAAGTTCATTCCTTCATAGTCTAAAACATAGCCAAATATTTTAAACAGAAACTTTTAAAATCAATTACATACTTCTCTGCTTTCTGAAACAAACACCGAGCCTTGCCTGGGTAACCCAGGGTCACCTTACCGCGACACTTTTCACGCTGTTTCACACACGTGCATGGCAGGCCCGGGGCAGGTCCCACCTTAGAGACCCACTGTACAGGCTGCTCTGGTGGCAGGGGCTATACTTTGTCAAAGTCTTACACAAAAATAATAATGATGGTACTGAATTCAGGAACTTGCCTGAGGGAGTCAGACAGTACTCAGAGGACATCAGCTGTTGCAAGTCTGTGAACGTTTCCTAAGAAAGACAGTTTAACACTTATCGCTATGAAGAGAAAAAGAGCAGCCCTCAAAGCTCGTAGCATACCTGGGACCCATTCACCACACACCATTTGTACTCAGAGAAGCGAGGTAGCCCAACGTCACACAGCTAGCAAGAAAATGAACACGGGGTTAAGACCAAGGTCTTGCTGGCTTCTCTACCTCCACCCACAGCTGCAGCTGCACCAGGGAGCTTCCATTTCCCAAGGCACCGAGGCACACAGTCCTGGCACCAGGGACTGACTGAGCACTTGTCTCTGACCTGTGGCCACCTCCCATCCCTGCCCAGTCACCTGTACACTTAGCAACTACTATGGCCGCCTAAGCAAATGCCGGCAAGCATGGCTCTGCCACCGACAAGCAAGACACCAGAAATGCAGAGACAGAGACTGTCCTCCTCTCTGACTGAAAGAAATGAAAGGTGGCTCCATGGAGCCTCAGCTACTATGTGCCTCACAACTGATCCTACTGCAAAAGATGTAACATTTTTTAAAAGTTGTGGTAAAATAAGATGTAACATTCTCAACAATATAAATGTCACCATCAAATTTAGCCTGTGCCACAAAAAAAATCCCTATCTGATCATTCCCATCTAGGTCAGGAAAGTCAGACTATCTCCTAAGAATCTTTAAATTATTTTAAATTAAATTATATTAAATGTATAATTGATATAAAGTATATTAACTGTCCAGCCTCAAAACTGGGGAAGTACTCTTATAATCCTCCAAGAACTAAGGCTCATAAACCCCACCCTTTTTTTTTTTCTTGTTAATTCTAATTTTAAAAAAGAGTTTGGTATGGTTTTAAAGTTTCCATTGAACCTCTGAAGGTGGCTTATGTCTCGACTCCTCTTCTAGGACTGGTCATGAGCTGACAAGCATAGAGGCAAAGTATCTCAACATTACAAAACCCCCAATCTTCAAGGAAAGGAGCACATTACCATGGAGCCACAGGACTCCAAAGGACCTCAGAAAGCATTTAGCCAAATCTCCTTATGCAGGAAATAAATGAGAATTTAAGGCTCAGATGGGTTAAGGTGATTTGTCAAGGTCATAAGAACTTGTCAGTTCCAGACTTGTAGTCCAGGGCTGCGTCCTTTTGTAAACCAGAAACGTCTGCATAGAAAGGATTAATCCAGAATATCCTCAAGACCGAGTATGAGAGAAGTGACCTATATGGTGGTGACTGAATAGAGTGCTTCATACCAAATAGAAGTTGCCAGTGCCTGCACTGAGCTCTGTGTCCTGGGCACCGTGCTGCTCTGCTGGACTGGGCAACGTGGACTGGGGCAGCCCATGGCTTCCTTCCTGCTGCCCAACTGCTCCTGGGCGAGAAGGCGAGTCCGGCTCCACCTTGATTGGAGCCAGCAGTTCCGGGACACTGGCATTTTCTCGGGGGGTGCTCGAAGAGGTCGGTGTGGTGATATGTGCTGCTAAGTTACTATTGGAGGTCAAAGCCAGTGGGTCGTCACTCAAGTTCTTCATGGGCAGAGCCACCAGACAGCCTAATGCTCCTGCACTCACAGTCTGCACGTCATCCACACTGAAGCTGCCCTGCTGCAGAACCGTGGCTGCTGTCCCGAGAACCAGAGGGCTGTCCAGGCTTGGGGGAATATCACTGTGGGCCACCAGGACCAGGGGTTCCATCGGCCCTAGGGAGCTATTATTAGCAGGGAGGTTCCCTCCCAGAGAGGAGCTCACAGAAGTGACGTCAATAGTCAGGATTCCGGAGTTCAGAGCCTCATCCGACCCACCTGCAGAACCACTAGCATTGGCAGGTGTGTCAGAGAAGAGTGCAGCAAGATCCATGTTAGTGAGCTCACTTTGGCCTGGGCTGCTGAGTTCACTGCTGGGAGTAAGAGAACTCGGAGCTTCTAGCTGAGGTAAGAGATCTGAAAAAAAAAGGAATACACTCTGGTTACTTTATGACCTTGAAGACTGAGTACTTTTGTTTATGCCCATGATGTTACCGAGTGATGCCCCAAGGAAGCACTGACTGTCCTCTTCCCACACCCTGAAGCTTGGTTATCACGACAGAGTCCCATGGCCGGTCGCTCAGGGCAACCGACACACACCCCAGGAAGGGACAGGAAGGGACACTGGCTGAAATCAGACACTTTACGTACGCGTCTTGGATCCTCAGGCTGACAGGGCTTTCTCCAGGGGAAACAACTGGAGAGAGATTAAATAACATTTCCTAAGGTCAGGCCAACTGGTAACAGCAAGAAGCAAAGTAAGACTTGCATCCATGTCTTTCTGGCTTCAAAGCCTGCACCCTCTCCCCTCTAGGTGCCACCGGAGCTGCCCGAGAGGACTGAACCTTTCCACTCAGCTGCCAGTTGCTAGCTGGCCTGTGCTCTGAGGATATTTTCCGAATCAGCTTGTCAGCTCATGTTTGCCAAACTCTGTGCTCCACTCCACAACTAGCTGCCACCCCAAAACCGACTGGAGCCATATAGGGGTGAACAAAGGAAATAAAACTGGCTGCCTGGCAAAGCCAGGACAGACCCAAAGCTTCAGCTCTAGGCAGATGCACAAGACTTCCAGGCATGCTGGGGGCCCCCTAGACGGAGCTTTTCCTGATGGGCTTTCCCTCCCACAGCCTCCCCTACCACTGCATCTCCAGCCTCACATTTCCCCAGCAGGACTGCAAGCCTCCTGAGGGTGGAGAGCCATCTGACCACCACTGTCCCCTCAGCCCCCAGCACAGTGCCCAGCCCTGATGCAGCATGTAATTATTATTATTATTATTTTTTTTGAGAGGGAGTCTCGCTCTGTCGCCCAGGCTGGAGTGCAGTGGCGCGATCTCGGCTCACTGCAAGCTCCGCCTCCCGGGTTCACCCCGTTCTCTTGCCTCAGCTCCCCGAGTAACTGGGACTACAGGCACCCGCCACTATGCCCGGCTAATTTTTTTGTGTTTTTAGTAGAGACGGGGTTTCACCGCATTAGCCAGGATGGTCTCGATCTCCTGACCTCGTGATCGGCCCGCCTGGGCCTCCCAAAGTGCTGGGATTACAGGTATGAGCCACCACGCCTGCAGCATGTCATGATTCTAACAGGCCCTTCTTCATCTGGAGTCTTAATTTCTGGTCATAATACTCTTTAAATATTTGATTATTTGTTATTCAACTACGTAATTTAAATAATCAGCATACTTTTGGGGGAATAATGACTTCCAAAAAATTTTAATGCATAGGCAAGTTTAGGGTTTGTATACAAGTACATGCCAATTACACCAAATCACAGGATGCTTCAAGCATCAAGCAAACAGTAAAATGGGAGCATAATTAATTTGGGCAAAAGAGCCAAATAAGGACTTGATGTCACGCTTTCCATAGGACTGTCCCCAGCAGCTTCCTGACTGTGCCAGCACCTGGCCCAGAGGAAAAGCTGCTCTCGGTTCTCTGATCCTATTTCTCCCATGCCAGCTGTTACTGTTCCCAAGCTCATACCTGCAGGCTGTGAACACCTGGCCAGAATGTCTATTATATTTTATATTTTTAATAATGCAAATCTACAAAAGAAGTCTATTCTAGACAAAAAGAAAATCAAATTCAGAATGTATCCTCTTTAGTTGTCATATTACTTTAAAGATTAAAAAAAGTATCAATATAGTATCACTTCTTCAATAAATATCCCTTAGTACCAATGAAGCATTTTGAAAGAAAATGGTAGTGATCCTTTGGAGAAATTAAAAATGGAAAACTATGTCAGTTTTTCAAAACTTCCTAAAAATTCCCTTGACTCTCTTGAGGACTCAGCTCCCTGTGAAGAGATCATGAATAATCTCAGTGCAAATGATACCCACTTATTAATAAATTTCTTACTTAGCACTTTACTAATTCTATAAACATTTACTACCAGAGACCAGACATGTACAAGGGCCAGATATTAACACAATCACTAAATAAACATTAGATAGCAGAGCATCTGGCAAAACAGTCATGATCACCACAGTTCAAAGCCCAGCCCCAGCCCTTCTTGCAGGTGTGACCCTGGCAAGTCCTTTCTATCTTGGTTTCATCAGTGACAAAGCAGTGAGGAACCCACTCCCAGGACCACCATTAGGGGGACTGAAACAACCCATTGAGGGCGTGACATAATCCCACGGTAACTGGGTGTTCTCGAGTGCCTGTTTTTCACTAGACGAAAGGGTGACACCTGGTCTTCTACCCCTGACAGCTGGCAGGGGGATGACACACAAATAAGTCATTGTCACACAGGAAATTCAATCCTGGGATACATAGGTTGCTACAGAAGAGGGTCTCACATCCCACTAGAGTTTAAGGAAAGTGCATCTAGTATAACACTGGGCCTCTGCAGACTTCTCAATTGGCCAGGTCAGGAAAGGGGAAGTGTGCCATGAGAGGGAACGGCCAAACAGGGGAGAGGCCTAAGTGATGTAGTCTCACAGAGCCCTCAGAGAAAAGGGGCCTGGTCATGTGGGCCTCTGTGAGCAAAGGTGACACCCTCCAACATGAATCAGGTGGCACGCACATTCCGTGTCCTCAAGACACTACTAAAGCCAGAAGGGCAATTTATTTAAATATAAAGCTGAACGGCAACTGCTGTAAACTGTGAAAGATCAGTGTCCAAGATCCCAAGGAGGGGCTTCATGACCACTTCTAAATAGGATCACAAGAAAGCAAAGGCCACAGAACTGCCCTGAGCCCAACCCCTCACCAAACTCTGTGCGAGGCATGGAGGCCTGTCCCTTGCCAACGCGGCAGCTGTGACACAGCTGCGCCCCAAAGCCGGTGCTCTGCTGTGGTGCTGCTGGTCACACAGGAGACGTGAGGACCCAGTTGGTGACACACACAGCCTCCACGGACTGAGCAGCAGAAGTAACTCTAGGGCCAGCTAGGATGCCATCAGCCAGGCCCGGTGAGGAGCGACAACCGCACCAGGGCCCAGAGAATAGGGCACATGGGTGTGCTCCCCAGAGGGGCCGCCACCACAGCTGCCAGGCACTTCTGTATCCTGGACTGTGGAGAAGGCCTAGTGGGGTAGGTTTCCTAGTCCCATGCTGCAAAGCTGCCCAATGACTAGGCACTCACACACTCAGCATTCCCCTCACAGGTCACCAGGCCACCGTCACTTTCCTCTCTAACCCTGCCCTCTCCAGCCCTCGTTACTCCCAGTCCACTCCTGAAACACAACTCTGCTCTAGCCTTTGTTACTTGGAGATAGAATAGCTGAGGCAGACGGAAACACAGGAGGGGCAGGTTCAGAATTCAGGACAAAAGTCCCAGTGAGAGACACAGGCTTAGGGGACATATGCTAGGGAAAGTCAACAAAGTGAAACATTCTTCCAGGAAAGCATTTCAAAGACATGGGAGGGGCAGGGCATGGTGGCTCATGCCTGTAATCCCAGCACTTTGGGAGGCTGAGGTGGGCAGACTGCTTAAGGCCAGCAGTTCAAAACCAGCCTGAGCAACATAGTGAAACCCTGTCTCTATAAAAAATGCAAAAATTAGCTGGGCATGGTGGTGGATGCCTGTGGGCTCAGCTACTCTGGAGACTGGGGTGGGAGGATCACTTGAGCAGGAGCCTGAGGTTGCAGTGAGCCATGATCACACCACTGCACTCCAGTCAGGGTGACAGAGAGGGACCCTGTCTCAAAAAACAAAAGACATGGGAGGGATTAGAGGGTCAAAGGCAAGAAAGTGGCAGAGAGTGCAAAAGAGGCCACTTGGCTTGGCAGCCACGCCCACAACCCCACTGCCTGACGCCTTCCAAGAGGTGAAGAAGGAACAGACGGCACTGGCACTGTTCCCGTTTCTCACAGGGAAGCAGCTCCCCATGGGGGCCGTGGAAAGTGCAGACCTTGGCGCCGGCTGTGCTGTCTGACCATGTGCGCCTTCATGCTGTGCTTGGAGGTGAAGAGTCTGTTGCAGGTAGAAACTGGGCAACGGCTTTTCGGAGCACCCACATCCTGCACGTGTTTCTTAGAGTGAATGTACAGACTGCTACGAGCGGAGAACCTCGCGCAACATCCTGGAACAAAAAGAGTAATGAGAGTGAAACCCAAGGATCACCAAGGAACCAGGAACAAGTGACACTTCCCCATCAGATCAGAACCACCAGACCTGCATTTTGCACCCTGGCTACTGGCAAGGACAGAGACCAAATATCTCTAGAAGTAGCATCACAAGCAATTCAAGTCAAAAGCAAACTGTTTTTAAAAAGCAAGAGATACAGTGAAACCCGTAGGGAGATTTGAAGTCCTACCTCAGCTATGCCTAAGCAACCTCTGTGCCTGTTTCTTCACCCACTACATGGAGATGTTGGGAAGATTAAGTCAAATTAAGTATTAACTGCTTAAATATTCAGTTGAAAACAATTTATTCTAGTCATCTCGATTAAGCTATTATCATAAAAAATGTAATCCTAGGATGACATTTAGAGCTGGAAACTATCTTGACAGATCACCAAAGCCAGTCCTTTCACTTTCCCACTGAGACAATGGATGCCCAGGGAGACTGAGCAGGTGTCCTGGAGCCCAGAGCTGGCAACTCCTTGCTTACACTCCCAGTCCACTTATGTCTCTGATCTGCACACAGGCATCAGAGGAAAAACAAGACACATTCAAAGTTACAATCACCTCCCCTCCGTGCCCTGGCTTTCTACTACGCTGGAGCTCTGCCCCATATGGACACAGGAAGGAGACGTGGAGCTCTTGGCGGTCAGAGGCCTATGACCTGGTAGGGGCAAATAGAACAGCCAGTTGCTGCAACAAAGGGCAGAAGGAAGTCAGTGCCAACACTGAAACATGCAAGCAGCAGAGGAAACCACACACCTCCCGAGAAGGCAGAAAAGCGGTCTCAGGAGTATGCAGCCCTCGAGGTGACTGGGCCACCCTGCAGCAGAGCAGATGGTGCTCCTGCCGCAGGAGCTGCCCAGCCAAGGCATGGGGGCATGAAGGGCAGCAGTGCAGGCACCCCAGCCTGGGTTCCAGTTCAGCCTCTTACCAGCAGTGTGGCCTTAGACAAATTATTTATCTTTTGCGGGTCTCCTTTTTCTGTTCTGTGAAACGGGAGTGACACCTACCTCACAGGGGTGCTGAGGGCCCAATAAAGCCATACCTGCCTACAGAGCCTCTGCACGGGCCTAAGCAAGTGGTGCGAGCAACGACGCACTCGCGGCACCTTCTTAAGACGGTGGGGTGGTACTGCCAGAGCCCAGCGCCTGGAGGAGGGATATTTTAAGGAAAGAGGCTATGAAGATAGGATACGGCCAGATGAGTAAGGGCCTTGGATGCCTGTGAATATAGTTTTCAACTACATTTTTCATTTTCTAATACAGCTGCAAACTCGTTTCCAGGTCAGGCTCGTCAAAAACCATCTGGGAAACAAAGGAGACAGTCCGACGGCCCAGGACTGCCCTGCAAGCGCGCAGTTTCCTCTGCATGCCCTGCTCACCATGGTACACAGGGTACCCTGGAACCCCCTTTCCCAGCTGGGGGTCCTGAGCACGGATTTCTAGAGACAGGTCACAGAGCAGAGGCTCTGAGCACATCTTCTGTCAAATGCCTTCTTGATGGCAGGGCCACGCTACAACAGGACCCTTGCACACTCTTGCCAGCACTGGGTTTCCATTTTTTAAAGTACTTGCTAATTCCATAGGCAAAAAATATATTTCATTTTGGTTTGTATTTCCTGCGACAACCAGGAATGTAATCATTTCTCCAAGTGTACTAACTGCTGGCTTTTCCAAATTCTGCCAGTATATTGAGATCTGTTTCCATTCTTTACAAATCCAAGCTGCAACCAGGGAGAGGCAGAAGCAGCCATCACTGACAGACCTGTCTGCAAAGCTGCATTCAGAGGACAGTGAGGCGCTCACATGGACGGCCAGGCAAGCACAAGGCTCGGCAACACGAGACACAGGCCCCAGCACACATAGCCCCGAGGCCGCAACGAGGCCACCCAACACCTGCCCTCAGACATACTTCTGGTCTGTGGCCTTGTCCTTTCCTCCTCCTCCTGTTACTACAAAAAAAGGTAGTTTTGCCTTCTACTTTTTATTACAGAACAGTTCAAACACCTACCAAAGTGGAAAAAATGGTGTCATCAGCCCCAACTATTGCCCAACCCCAAGAATGATCAACTCTCAGTCCAGCTGAGAAGAGGTTCTGGGCTCCTCCCACCAGCTCCAACTCCATCTCCACGTGCTGCCCATACACCACGTGGGGAGTGCCCAGTTTCTCTCCCAGCACAACACCTAGACTTGCTGGAAGAAACAGAGCTCTACAGAAACAAATGCCCTATCCTCCACGGCCAACTCCCACCTTTCCCCTTTCCCCAGTCACCTCTGGCAGAAGTGTCAGCACAAACCATCCCCATCTCCCACTCAGGCCACCTCTCAGGGCACCAGAGCAGGACTCTGCCTGAGTGACCCACGGAACCTCATCCATCAGCACACCAAGACAACCCCGCAGGTGGCACCGAGGCATGTGTTCCCTGGTCCTGGCTCACCCTAGCACTCCAGGTGACCCCCACTTCCACACATTCCCCACTCACCTCAGCACCACCCCCACTGTGCTGTTGCTGGTCCTGCCAGTACCCGTCCCAGCCACTCCACCGGAATCTGGGGCAGCCCCAGGGCTCTGTCCTAGGTCCTTTTTAAGAAAATCTAACAGCAATCACAACAACGACAGTAACTGACATATATACTGATGTTTTCCATATGCGCTAAACTTAGTAACCAATCCAGCCTTCTCAACAACCCTGGGAGGTTTTATTCACTTTACAGATAAGGAAGAGGCACAGAGAGCTTCAAGTGTTTGTCCGAGGCCCCAGACCTACTTACGTGGCAAACTTAGGACTCGAATCCAGGCAGTCTGACTCCAGAATTCAGGCTTTTGATCAACTACACTACCCTGACTCTCCTCCATTTATACTCTTCTTTGAGAATTTCATCCACTTTTGTGGCTTAAATGATGATTCGGGTGCTGTCTGCTTCGCTCCCTGCCTGGCCTGCTCTCCCCAGCACCAGTGGCACATCCCCTGCCCTCTGCGCATTAGACGCACAAGGGTACCAAAAACACAACATGTCCAAACCAAACTCTGCTTCCTCCAAATCCACTCAGCTGACACACTGACATCAACTAAAATCCAAATCCATCACCATATACTGTGACTTCTAACTCCCACCTCTGCTATTGATGCCCCTTTCTCTTTTCCCACTGTTAAGGCCCCCGTCCAGGCCATCCCACCTCCCCACACCCCTGGCTGCTTTCAATCCTGAAGCCAGGCTAAGCCACAACTCAAACATGATGACATCATACGCTCACCCAAGCACTCAAGCCTGCCACTCCTGGCCCTGAGAGGCTCTCCCAGGCCACTCCGCCTCCAACACCCACACGCACGTGTCTGGTGCTCTCCCCTCTTCTTCAGCTGACCGCGAGGCCGTTCTCACCCCGGTCTGGGGAAACTCTCTGCGCCCCTGCAGCACCCTACATGTTACCTGTTCCCCTGTCTGCACCTCCAGCTGAAACTCTGACGGAAGGAGGAACTGTTTCTCAGTTACACCACTTGTATATATGTTCATTATGTTCTAAGAGCTAGGCTCAGCTTTAAATGGGTCTTTATTATTCTCTCTTCCAGGTAAGGAAACCAAGGCCCAGAGAAGCAGCTTGACTGAGGCCACCACTTTAGGGAGCGGTAGAGCCAGACTTTGAATCCATGACCACCCGACGTGTCCTGGCTCACTGCCTCCCAGTGCACCTGCAGAACTAGAGTAGGGCCAGCACGCACAAGTCACGCACAGGTCACGCAGCCAATTTCTGGCAAATGAACTGAGCCTTCAGTGTTTTAAAGGAAAAAACCACTCTACTATACCTTTTAAAAAGTCAGGTTGGGCGTGGTGGCTCACACCTGTAATCCCAGCACTTTGGGAGGCCAAAGTGGGTGGATCACTTGACGTCAGGAGTTTGAGACCATCCTGGCCAACATGGTGAAACCCTGTCTCTACTAAAAGCATAAAAATCAGCCAAGCGTGGTGGCATACGCCTGTAGTCCCAGCTACTCAGAAGGCTGAGGCATAAGAATCACTTAAACCTGGGAGGCAGAGGTTGCAATGAGCCAAGATCACACCATTGCATCCAGCCTGGGTGACAGAGCAAGACTGTCTCAAAAATTAAACAAAAAAAGAAAAAGTCAGTCTAGCTTTACTGCTCTCCAATTACAAAATGATTGGAGTGACAATTCAAACGTGATCTCAAAAGTACCTACCATTTACTGAGTCCGAGCTCCATGCCAGATGGATAAACAGGCATTTTCCACATTTCACCTAATCCTCACGACCACCAAATTAAACAGGTAACTTAACTAGAGCCACAGATCTAATGAGGATCAGGGCCATGAGTCAAACTGCGTCTGATTCTCAAGTCACTGCTCCCAAAATAGTACAATTAACTCAATGAGGTAAGTAAACATAATGCTGCAACTTATATTGAGTCAGTCTTTAAGCAGCTAACATTTACCTTTAAACAACGGAAACTTAACAGGATAAATGTTGGCATTGCACTTAGTTTACTGCTCAAAGCAATGTTTTAAAATCTACCTTCCACAGGACACTCGAACGGCTTTGTGCCTAGGTGGGTTATGCTGTGGCCTTTCAGATGCTCTGCTCTGGTGAATGATTTCCCACAGCCCTCGACAGGGCAGGTAAACCTCCGGTCATCGTCATGTTTCCTGCCAGACAGAAAAATAAAGGAGCTGTGATTCCTCACACAACTCACCATAATTCTTTAAAATTCTACAAAACATACCAAAACACAAACTTTGCATTTACAAAAATGATCAGTACATTTCGGAAAATCTTAATTCTGTCTTTAATCCATGTGAGCAGATTTGCAATTTAGCTACCCCATAAAAATTCTACTTTAATGACTAAGCTGACCCCAGAGTCACACATCAAACAATTAATGCTACTTCAATCTAATATAAGCTAATCTAAGAACAGTGGAGTCCCAAATGTATTGATGAAGGTGTTTCTATTGTTTAGAAACCCCAATGATCAACAAGCTTTCCGAGCGACAGACGGTCGTGAGAAATGTGCACAGAGCATCAGCTGCAATGCCAAAAGGACTCTCTTAAGCCAACTTGTAAAGACTGTGTCTTTTCCTAAGTGACATTTTTATATTAAATCCTCAGAGCCCAGCTGTGCAAGTACAGAAAAACCACTGAATCTCTCCGAGTCTCACTGTAAAACAGGGAGAATAAGAACATTAGCTTTGAGGTTGTTGGGAAGGTAGAAGACACACATGTAAAGTGCTGAGTGTCACCTGGACACAGTCTCCAGGGTTGTCATTACCACCATGAAAACTTGTAATTACATGAAGAAAGCTTATTCTACAATGTTAAGTTAAAAAAAAAACCTGGAATTGTTTTTTTTTTAAGAACAGAGTATGCCAATTTAGCTTTTTTTAAAAAAAGTATACACAGAAAAAACTGACTTCAGGTGATGAGATTCTGAGCAATTTTCTTTTTACAGTTTTCTGAATTTTCCAAATCATCAACACTGAGCTCCTTTTTTAACAACTTAAAAAATGTCTACAGATATTTCATTCATTGGTTTCTGCTGCTGACAAACCACTCATTTTCAAACCTGATAATGCAAACCAAAATGTAAGGATTACCTTCTGTGCCTTAGAAGTTTGGACATGCTGGTGAAGGTCCAGCCACAGCTGTCAGAGTCACAAATAAATGGTCTTTCACCTTATAAAAGAAAAAATTATACAGCATAAAATTTACAACTCCAACAGCTACGATGAAGACAAATCTTGGGTCCAAATGCTGTGCGTTCCCTAGCTCATTACCTGTATGGCTCCGCAGGTGAATTTTCAGCCGACAGGCTTTATCATACTGCTTGCTGCACCCAGGAAAGGAGCAGGAAAAGAGCTCTTGTTCCCTGAAGTGGGCTCGGTTATGGGAAAACAGGGCACTCACTGTGATAAATGTCTTCTCACAGCCTGAACAAGGAAAACACAAACCCTGCTCAAAGCGTGGCAAAAATTATACAACATAGCTAATGCTAGTCACACCCACCAGACCCTGTTCACACTGAAGCAGACAAGGGAAAACATGACTCAGAAGCACTCTCTAAAAAGGGAAGACCATTAATGCTTGGCTTTGTGATCACCACAGGAAGGCAGCTAATGGCAGCCAATAGGCACACGCTGGCCACCTGTTGCAACATGACTTGGAGATGGAGCAACCGATAAAGAGAAAGTCCTCCGTTCACAGCCATCTACTGGCCGGCTCCGGAGCACTGATCCTGCACACACACTGAGACCCAAGAACCCCATGAGAGAAATCAAATACTAAGGAACAAGATTTTGTCTGGTAGGGTTGATCTTTGAAAGGCTACAAATCATCCTACTAGCCAGGATTTTTCACCCCTTGGGGGTGATGCTGCATCCTCTACATATCCAAATTTCCTCCCTGACACCCTCCAACTGCCAGCCCTGTCCCTTGCTGTTTGGATTCTTTTTCCTTTCGCAATTTCCTTAGGTTCCCTGCTTTGTAATCTTCACCTCAATCCTAACCCCTGGCCAAAGCAGCTAAGCCTCAACAATTCCACAGCAATACTTCTCCTCCGACAGAAACATTCAGGGCTCCAACAGGGTGGAAAACATGAGGCTGCAGGATGTTTAACAGGAGTCTTTGCTGCAGCTCCTCTTGGAGCCTTTAACGAGATACTATCATGCCTATGAACTGCCACACAGATGTACATGGCATAGCACTGCCCAAAAGTATCAGCCCAAGGAACCCTACTTTCCCCAGCAACATCTAACTCAGAAATGCTGATCTTTGGCCTCAATCTGGTCCCAAAATACCTCCAGGGTATTTTGGGCTTCGGTGTGTTCACACACTTGGTCATGTAAATCTGAACACAGACTCTCTCTGCCTTGGCAAGAACCCCCCACACCCCCATAGATAATTACACCCTTTGGTTCTCCCTCTGCAATCTCACCTGCTAGAGACCCTCATCATTCCCACTCCCTGGCTCAGGCCTTCAGAAAACTCAGGTCTGGGCCCTTTGATGATGCTTCCCTGGTCCTGCTCCTGCTTCTAAACATCTAATCTCATCTAACCATCTAATCTCATCTCAACACAAGAAGCCTCATGGATCAGCCAACACAAAACCCTCAAGAGACCTCATGCCTGGAAGCAGGCGGGATCCCTGACCTTCCCAGTGTCATACACAGAATGATACTCTTTTAGCAGGGAAAGGGTCTACAGCCACCATCAGATTCCCAAGAGTGTATGACTGAAAAAGACTTTGAGCTAGTGGCCTCAAGCCACATTCTCTCTGAAGAGGAATGCGCAAGACAGTCCACAGGCATATGCGAGGGAAAAAATAATAAAACCCGTTCATAATTCTCATCTCATCCTTTAAAAATTCTTGTTTAAGGACATTATAAGGAGAGCCGTGTGCATATACAGGTTAGGGGCATGCTAGGCACACATTCCAGTTTCTGTTTGAATGACTGGTCCTTCCTCCTGGGCCCTCACCACAGACCACAATCCCCACCTGGGCTCTGCCACCCAGCCGACTCCATTCTTCTGCCTTTCCAGGGAGGAATCCTTTCTTGCCCTTCTGGAGGAACCCTATCCCTGTGAAAGCAGGGAAAGCTGCCCATCCTGGTGAAGAGCTCACTGTGTTGGAGTCCTACATTCCCAACAACTGCAGGTCAACACACAGGAGAAAGAACAGGCAGTGGACTTTTTTTTTTTTTTTTTTTTGAGACGGTGTCTCGCTCTGTCGCCCCGGCTGGAATGCAGTGGCGCGATCTCGGCTCACTGCAAGCTCCGTCTCTGGGGTTCACACCATTCTCCTGCCTCAGCCTCCCGAGTAGCTGGGACTACAGGCGCCCGCTACCACGCCCGGCTAATTTTTTGTAGTTTTAATAGAGACGGGGTTTCACCGTGTTAGCCAGGATGGTCTCGATCTCCTGACCTCGTAATCCGCCCGCCTCGGCCTCCCAAAGTGCTGGGATTACAGGCGTGAGCCACCGCGCCCAGCCACCAGCAGTGGACTTTATCCACAAGGCTCGGCCTCTGTCTCTTCATCTGTAAAAGAGGACAGTTTTTAACCTTCACAGACGGCTAATTTTTAAAACTTCACAAAACTGTGAGGTTCAACGGAAATCAAAGTGCAAAAGGCAAAAAAAGCCAGGATGTGCGCACACCTGTGGCTATCCTCCCAGCGTGTTAAGGTCCTGAATCTGGCCACATTCATCTCTGCTCCTCTAGCACGGAGTGTGCACCCCGTAAACAAATGACGAGACTGAGGAAAATAAAGACCTGACACATAGCTCCGTGCCACTCTGTGAAGATGCGTGCCGCTTTCATCAAGCACAAGCAGGTTAAGGATATCTGTTGCCGCCACCTTTGGGAAGCGCAGCTGTGGTGATCTGCGCTACCTGCCATCGGAATCCCTGCGGCAGGGCAGGGCCAAGATCTCAAATCGAATGACATGGAAGGAGCTAGAATACAAATCCCGAAGAGCCTGCGTCCCCGGCTTGCTAAGGTCTGGCAGGCCCCTCTGTGGGGCGGACGTGGCACCCCAGACCTGCCTGCAACACCGCGCAGCCCGCCCGCCCCCGAGAGCGCGGTTACCGGGAAAGTCACACTTGTAAGGGCGCTCGGGCTCGAAGTGGCTGCGCTGGTGGGAGCTGAGCTTGGCGTGCGTGGGGAAGCGCTCGGCGCACACCTCGCACTTGAACAGGCTCTCCTGCTCGTGGCCCTTCATGTGCGCCTTGAGGTTATAGACCGTAGTGAACTTCTTGCCACAGCCGCCCACTGGACAGCCGAAGGGCCGCAGCTTGTCGTGCGACTGCAGGTGCCGCTTGAGCTTGTAGGACGTTGTGAAGGCCCAACCACAGCCCTCCAGTGGGCACTTGAAGGGCCGCCGGCCCTGACCGCCGCCGTGCGTGAGCAGGTGCACCTTGAGCTGGTGCTTCTTGGCGAAGGCCAGCGCGCACTGCGGCTCGGGGCAGCGGTAGCCGGGCGTGCTGGGGCCGGAGGCCTGGGGCGCGCGGCGGGGAGCGGCGGCGCCCGCGGTTGCGGGGCCGGGCGGCGCAGACAGCGCGAGGACGCCGCGGTCGAGACGCACCAGCAGGTCCTGGCTGCTGATGGTGACGGCGCCCGCCGGGGCTACGCCAGGGCCGGGGGGGGCGGCCGGGCCGCTGGGGCCCTGCTCGGGGCGGCTCGCCAGGTTGACACGGGAGCCAGGCTCGGCCTCCTGTGATCCGGCAGCCTCGGCGGCAGCGCCGCCGTGCGGCACTTCCAGCAGCACCAAGAAAGAGTCGCCGTCGCTGTCGTCCTCGGCGGGCGGCGGGCTTGGCCCGGAGGCCTCCCCGGGCCGCGCCCCGGGCCCGCCATCTTCAGGGCCCCGCACCAGTAGCAGGCGGCGGCGCGCGGGGCTCGCGCCGAGCGGCGCTGGGGCTCGGCGGAGCGGGCCGGGGCCGCCGCCATGTTGCCCTCCGCGCGCAGTCGGGGCGGGGAGCAGCGCCGGGAGGTCCATCTTGGTCCCAGCGACGGCGTCGGAGCAGCTTCGGACGCAGAGCTGCCCGCGCCCCGCCCAGGTGTGCGTGCGCCGCCCCGGGACGCGATCCGCGCCAAGCCCCGGCGTAGAGTCCGGCTCGGAACCGCGCGTGCGCGGACGCCGCCGGGCGATGCGCGAGGCCTGCTGGGCTGACGTGACGTGAGGCTGGGCTGCGGGGCGCCGGAGGCGGAGGCGGGGGCGGGGCGCCGGGACCGACTAGGGCGGGGCGCGGGGTCGGGGGGCGGGGCGCGGGGTCGGGGGGCGGGGCGCGGGGTCGGGGGGCGGGGCGCGGGGTCGGGGGGCGGGGCGCGGGGTCGGGGGGCGGGGCGCGGGGTCGGGGGGCGGAGCGCCGGCACCTACGAGGGCGAGCGGCGGGGCACGGGACCGACAGGGGACGGGGTGAGGCTCCCAACGCTGAGCGATTCCTTCTCGTTCCCGCTGGCGTGGAAGACGAGGCTTGTCTTGACTTCGAATCGTATTAATATTTCAGACACTTAACAGGCAACCTCTCGTAGGCATTGACTGCGTCCCAGGGGCTGTACCTGTCCGAGCTGATTAAGCGTGCGCGGTCACCCAGGGGTGAGGAAACAGGGACGGCGAGCTCGAGTCACTCGGCAGCCGGCAGATCCAGGATTCGAACCTGTCCAACAGGCCGGACGCCTACCCCCAGCTCACTTAAGTGCAAGCTCGCCTGCCGCCGCTGGCGCACAGACCTCGTTTGCTTTGGCCCAGGTCCTTGCTCGGCACACGGGGCCTCCCTGATACGCAGGACCCCTGCCTGTATTTCCAACTGTATTTCCTACTAAACTTGGCACAACCTCACTCTGCAACAGCTTAATTACTTACTGTTTCCGGTCCTCACCCTCCCCCACCTCACCGTACACCTCCGCATTCAATCTGGACTCCTCCACTTCAACTTCACCACCACTCAGATCCAAACCCGCACTTTATTCCTGGGTACCTGAAAAATAACTACTAGCTGGTCATCGGTCTCCCTCCGCTCCACTCGCTCCCATCCACGGGGCACCGTTTTATGATCTAAAAATTGCACATCAAATTATGCTCACCTCCACCTTGCTCCCGAAGGCGCCTATGGCCTTGCTAGTCTACCCTCCCCTACCTGTTTGCCCTCACTTCCCGCCACTCTCCCGCTGCCCCCCCCACCCCTCCCCCGCACCCCACCTCTTTTTCCCAGTTCATCCAGCAAGCCAAGCTGGTTCCAGCCTCAGAGACTTGGCGCAGCTGATCTCTGATTCCTCTGGGAGGACTCTGCGCCCCTTCTGATCCAAAGCACATGCTTACCCAGTCCCGTATTCCCACCTCTGTCTGATCTGTTTGCTCTTAGAGCTCTCATCACCCGTTGTTTTGTTGAGTTCCTTCCCTGCTCCTTCACTGTCTCTCCCTCTCTGGAATGTAGGCTCCTGGAGCCCAGGAACTGTGTCCTATTCACTGTGTGTGCCCAGGAAGACTCTTGGTGCATATTTGTTAAATACATGAATGCTTTATTATTAAGAGTATTTTTTTAAGTAACACAAATTATAATATTAAAAAGAATAGGATACATCTATTATATATATCAGTTTATGCCGAAAACATATTGTTCCTAGACCATTCAGTAGAGGAAAGAATAGTCATTTCAATAATGGCGGCACTGGGACAACTGGATCTCCACATGCAAAAGAACCAATTTGGACGTGTATCTCTCATCAGAGGCAAAAATTAACTCAAATTAGAGCAAAAGCCTACACGTAAGACATAAAACTATTTGAAGAAAAGTAGGTGTAAATCTATGTGACCCTGGATTAGGGAATAGTTTCTTAGATATAATATTGAAAGCACAAGAAAGAAAAATAGATAACTTGGACTTCATCAAAATTAAAAACTTACTCAGGTAAAAGGACACCAATAAGACAGTGAAAAGACAACTCAGAATGGGAGAAGGGTGTGCAAATCGAATATCTGATAAGGATCTACTATCTGGAATATATAAAGAACTCTTAGCAAGAAGACAAACAGTCCACTTTTTTAAAAGGCAAAGGTTTGAATAGACATATTTCTCCAAAGAAGATAATACAAACAGCCAATAAGCAAATAAAAAGAGGCTCAACATCACGAATCATTAGGGAAATGCAAATCAAAACACAGTGAGATACAACTTCACACCTACTCAAATAGTGGTAATTTTTTTAAAAACAGGATATAGAAAAATTGGAACTCTCACATATGGCTGGTGGGAATGTATAACGTTGCGGTGTGGAAAACAGTTTGGCAGTTCTGCAGAAAGCTAAACATAATCTCCACATGACCCAGCAAGTCCATCCCTGTGTTGCTGAGGCTGGAGTGTGGTGGCTATTCACAGGTGCAATCATAGTGCGACCTCCAACTGGCCTCAAGCAGTCCTTCCGGGTCAGCCTCCCAATTAACTGGACTACAGGCATATGCCACCATGCCCAACTTGTTGCGCAGCATTGATTATGCCACATTCTCGTGATCAAAGAAGTCATAAGACACTGCAGACCCAGGCAAGGGGAACTTGTACTCCACCTCTCAATGGGAGGTGCTGGAAAGAATTTGCAGCCATTTTTAAACTATCACAACTTCTCTGTGCCTCAGTTTCCTCATGTGTAAAATGAAGGGGACTGAGAAAGAAAAAGGGCAGCCCCTGCCATCCAGAAACTGGCCGGGTGCTACAGCTGGGCCACTCTGTTCTGTAAGACTTGAACCATCACGCAGAAAACCAACCTAGGCCAAGGTCACTGAAACACAATGACATGAGACAAAGCAAGGCCACTTCATGATGTGTCTCCACCCAGATAAAGCGAGGTCACTTGCTGTGCCATTTACAAGATACCCAGCAGCCCCTCTCTCAGCTAACGTGAGCAGCCGCCGCTTTTGTACCCCTGACAGCCTGTCTGTCTGTGTGCTTCCCTCTCTGTATATAGGATTTAGTCAGAAACCTAGTCATGGTGTTGACCCGATTTCTGGTAAGAGCCAATCCAGAGCAAATCCCCGCTTCCTAAGACTCCCCCACCCAACCAAAGCTCAAATCTGATACTAGGTTGTTTCAGATACTAGGTTGTTTCAGCCTTCTGCTGAGATACCCTGAAAGGAGCAACAGGACTCCTGGCGAGGGTCAGACGCGCCACTTCACCAGGTGGGCTTGAGTCAGCTCAATGTGGTCATCCAGTGGGGCTCAGGCAGAGACTTGAACTTGGTAGTCTCAAAGGAGTGCCCCAAATTACAAGGACCACAGAGATTGTGCCTTGGCCAGCCAGACCTGTACTCTCCAGGCTGTGTGGAAAGGATTTTGGAGAAGCCAGGGGAAGGGACGCAGATGACACACGCATGCACGCTCAGATTTATTTGTGTCTGGGGAGAAATCCCATCAGCCCAGGTATCGCTGGATGTCCAGCACCTCTTTTGGGCTAAAAGGCATCATGTGGATCTTGAGATTGCTAACAGAGAAGTGTCCAGGATTCCCAAATTTTGATGGGAGTGGGGATGAGGTTCACTGGGAGCAAAAGAGCATCTCTTTGTCAAAGGTCACAAGTTCAAATCCCAGCAGAGGTCATACAAGTCACACAAATGTGGGAGACAGGTGGGCACAGGAAACATAGACTCTCATGCCAAGGGACAAACAGCATACACGCTCCGCCTCACCATGGGTTCTGTAGGGACTGGAAGGGACTGTGGCCAAGTGCAGAGAGCTAGGCCAGCCCAGAGGGGCCCCCAGCAAATCACTGCCACAGAGGTGGTGAGAACATGGTGTTACCTTATATCTTGATTTTCAAAAAATAAGCTCTGGATTTCTCCCAATTTGTAAACATTGGTGACAAAGTCAAATTTTTTTAAAAACAGGACAGACCAAACAAAACACAACTGCAGGCTGAGTGTAGTGCTGTGCTCCTGTGGTCCCAGCTACTTGGGAGGCTAAGGCAGGAGGATCACTTCAGCCCAGGAGTTCAAGGCTACAGTGAGCCATGATTGCACCACTGCACTCCAGCCTGAGTGACAGAGCAAGATCCTATTTCTAAAAAATATATAAATAAAACATAACTGCAGGTCATGCCCGGCCCACAGGCCCCTGTGTGGTTGTCTACTCTGGGAAAACTGGAATGGGAGAGTGCATCACTCAGCCAGGCCCTCCCTCCCTGACCTTGGCTTGCCAGCAAGGAAAGCATACAGTTCCCAGGGACCCTGGGTTTGCAGAGAGCAGGCGCTGCCCAGGGGGAGGACCCTAATGCTGTACTGCAGGGCCTGAGCCTTTCTCACCTCCAACTCTTAAGGCAACTGAACCCTACACTCATCATGGCCAACTGGTTTCTCTTTTAATCATTTTGATGAAAACATTTCTAACTGGACTATACATCCTTGCCTTCTGAAAAAGAAGATGGCACTGGGCACATCAGAAGCCACGCTGTTCCTTCCATGGCGACTACAGCTGTGACCAGCTGCCCCAATTCCGCTGTGAGCCCCGTGGGAGTCAGCTGTCACTTACCACTGCAGCAGCAGACAGCAGGTTGGCATGCAGGGGCCAGGGAAGTAGCTTGCTCCCTGGCATGGCTTGGTATGGAGCCCAGAGGGGGTCTGGGGTCTGTGTGCAGCTGGAAGCCACCAGAGCCCTCCCTGTCCTTCAAGAGGGAAGGTGCTGGATGGGGAAAGGGTGATGCCAGGGCCCTGTGGCCCGCTCTTAAGATGTGTGCACAGATCCATGCAGCAGGGTGCTTTCATGGAGATGTGGGGACAGACGATTCGTCCCTACACACTCTGTCCTGTCTCTCTCACTATCTCTGTCTTTCTCTCTTTCTCTGTCTCTTACTCTCTCTATCTCTCTCTTTCTCTGTCTCTTCCTCTCTGTATCTCTTTCTTTCTCTGTCTCTTCCTCTCTCTCTGTCTCTCTCTGTGACTCTCTGTCTGTCTCTGCCCCTCTCTGTAACACTCTCCCCTCTCTGTCTCTGTCCTTCTGTCTCTGCCCCTCTCTGTAACACTCTCCCCTCTCTGTCTCTGTCTTTCTGTCTCTGCCCCTCTCTGTAACACTCTCCCCTCTCTGTCTCTGCCATGGAAGGATGCAGTGAGAAGTTGGCCTCACCAGGAATTACGCCAGCTGGCACCTGGTCTTGGGCTTCCAGCCTGCAAATGTGTTTCATTTCTGTTGTTTGGGCCCCAGTGCCAGACATTATGTGGCAGCCGCCCTAGCTGACCAACCTGGTTGCTGTGTTTCCAGGCCCCACATCTTGGTTCTGGCAGGACGAAGGGGCGAAGGCAAAAAGCAACCCCGCTGGATCTGTCCATTTTATTAGAAAAACGACGGCTCTCAAGAAGCCCTGCCCCACAGACCCCACCCTCATCTCGTGGGCCAGGACTAGGCCAACAGTCCCTCCTAACAGCAAGGAAGGCTGGAGAATCAGGTGGTTTTATTTACCCTATATTGCTGCCCACACAAAACTAGGCTTTTGTTCACAAGGGAAAGGGGAGAATGGCTGCTGGGGAGGAGATGCGGAGTGCAGGGAGGGTGGGGACCAAGAACCCGGCTTGGTCCTGGAGAGGGCAGTGGCCTGCCCCTCTCCAATCCACCGACATGTGGGGTGTCTGGTTTTCTGTGGCCCTCAGAGGCCCACCCACAGACTCTTTCTCATTTCTCTGTTTAGGATGAGTTATCTGTTGGTCTGTTGCACGCCCAGCTAAGAGAATGAGATTCATGAGCCCTGGCCCTGACAGAGGCCACTTCCCCCATCCCGGTGACCTCTCACGAGGCTCTGGACCCAGTCATTACCGGGCTATGGGATTGGGGAAGGGGTGCCAGACTCCAGCCTCAGGGGCCAGCAAAGGGTCCCCTTTGCTGTACCCCTCAGGCTGTGCTGGCCTAGGGGGGTGCCCCTGCTCTCTCATTTCTTCCCCAGTAAGTGATCATTTATCCTTAGGGCAGACCCGGCCTGCCCGTCCCACCAGCCCACAGTGCAGCACACAGCTCTGTTGACCCTTTATTTCCTGGTCTATCCTCCTTCCCGAACTCCTCCAGGCCAGCAGCCCAGGGTGCCAGGGTCCAGAAGTTGCTTGCACAGACAGCAGATGGGCAGCAGACAGACAGAGTTGCATGGAGGCTGGCAGGTGGCCAGGAAGCAGAGGGTGTGATCATCCCAGCCGGAGAGAGCTTGACCAGTGTTCACCGCAGGGCCCCCGGGCAGGCTTGGGACTTGGCCCTAAATGGACTTTGACAGCCTTCAGGGCTCCCATGCAAGTGGCATGGTTGTGGACAGAGAGCTGCATGTCTCTGGGCCTCAGGGGGCTGTCTGTAAAATGAGGCTGTGGTGGCACCCTGCACAGGGCACCATAAGGGCCACGTGAGGATGTGCGAGAAGTGCAGGTAGTGCGGGTGTGCAGGAAGGGTGTGTGCCATGGCTGGGCAGGTGAGGATCGCCAGGGAGGAAGGGAGGCAGGGGCCGCGACTCCTGGCTCCCTCAGAGCTGCAGGGCCTGCTGGAGCACCCGCTCGTCCTCCACCTTGTGAGGCAGTGTCACCACCAAGGTGCTGTTCTCCTGCATGGTCTGGCAGATGATCTCATAGGCCTTCTGGTTCCCTGACCAGCAGCGCCGGGCCACCTAGGGCAAGGAGGGGGATAGCAGTCCATGTCAACATAACCGGGCTCCCCACGTGAGTCTTGGCTCCCACACTTGGGGCCTCTCTGCTTCGGGACCTCTGAGGCTGTCCGTGGGGACAGCTGCCCTTTTGTGTCTGCCCCATTTCCACCCCCAGCTTAGGCTCCCTGTCTCTGGCCCTCCTCTGGGATCTGAAACTGGCGGTCATCACACTCAGTCCTGCTCCCCCAGCTCCAAGAATGGCCTTGCCTCCTGAGTCCTCCGCAGCACCTCCCTCCCTTCTAGAATCCACCTCAGCCTGAGCTCTACCTTCACAATGTCCCTGCAGTCCTCTTTCTTCCCTCCACCTGGTCTCCCCTGGATGATGCCACGCCTCCTCCCCCATTCCCCTCTGCCATTCTTGCCACCCCCGCCTCCGCCTTCCACACAGTCACCACACCTGCCCCCAACCCACTTTTCCATGCCACAGCCGGGGCATCTCCTAGAACAAAACCTCTTGCTCTGGGATGAAGACCTCCATCCCCAGCTCCGCCAGAAGCCCTGCAGCTCCCGGTGAGATGGGGTGAGTCTCCTGCCAGCACCCTCTCTGTCCTCATGCTCACGCTCCGGGCCCAGCCCAGGGGCTTTCAGTCACCCAAGCTGTCTGAACTCCCGCCTTTGCTCCAAGCCTCCCCTCATTCTCTGGGTCCCACCTGTCTCCCCATCATCACCTGACCTGACCTCCATTTGAGCTGATTCCCCCTTCCTGGCTGCTGTGCTGTGGTCATGAGAGGAATCCGGCCCCCATCCCCACACCCAGGAGATGCTGTATGACAGCAAACGTGGATGGGGATCACCCAGCTGAAGGCCCTGCCTTCAGGAGGTGGCAAGGACTGGGCTGACTTACACCATTGGAGACATCCCAGCTGAGCATCAGCCTGGCTCTCCCCTCGGCCTCCGGGGTACCGTCCAGCACGAGGCCGAATCCCCCGTTGATCACCTCACCCCTGCAGGAGGCAGAGGAGTTTCCAGTTCATTCCTGGGGCCCAACACTGCACAGAGCAGGCAGAAGCCCATGTTTTGGAAGCATTGGCTTGAGACGGCGTCAGGGTTGGGGCCGCCACACCGCCAGCCTCTGCAACCTGGTGGATGCAGGAGTCGTGCAGGCAAGCACAGCTGGGAGCAGCGTGGTTACCTGCCACCTCTCTGCCCACTTGTGCCCCCTGTGCTGGGCCTGTCGGCCTCGTGCCCACTTCCACCACCCATTGGAGGTCATCCCTTGATGGAAACCTCCTGGGTACCCCCAGTGGGCTATAGCTGCCCCCTCCCTGCATTCTCAGAGTGCTGCCCTATAAAGCACACTCCCCTTGGTGTGTCTTGTATTACTCAATTCAGTCATCACTCTTTCTGGTTTTATCTTTAAAAAAAATATTTTTTTAGAGATGGTATCTCACTATGCTGCCCAGGATGACCATGAAATCCTGGCCTGAAGCAATCCTCTTGCTTCGACCTCCCAAAATGCTGGGATTATAGGCATGGGCCACTGTGCCCCCACCTGATTTTATCCTTATGATCTTTATCTTCCTTATCTCTTCTTTCTGCTTGCCTCAAGTGTATGGGGGGTCCTTCTGATTATTTGATCTGAAGGCTAAGTTCCTTTATTTTCAATATTTCTGGTTTTCTAATTAATGCATTTCTCTCCTTCTAACAGTTTTTGATATGTTCTTGGTTTCATTTGTTTCCTAGTAGATGAGTTGAACTTCATTAACTGTGTTGAAGCTCTGCTGCTGCTTCCATGCATGTGCACTGGAGCTGTTCCCCATCAGCCTGGGATGACCTTCCCCATCCTCAGCCATTCACCTACGAGCTGCTGCCCTTGAAGCATCCAGCCTTGGCTCCTGCTCAGTCTTCTCAGCTTTCAGTTACACAAGAAGCACCCTTAATTTTGTAAACGCCTGTCGTTGTGTTGTTGCAAATGTGTCCCTCCTGCCTCTTATTCCTCACTTGCAGTATATCTGTTCCTTTTTCTTCCAGCATGCAAAATGTGCATCTAGTTTCCCTTGTCTCAAATCCTTCAGGCCCATCCAGCTTTCCCTGCTTCTCTGCCCAGCCTGAATCCTACTGACCACAACCTCAGCCAGTTCTCACCAGGAAGCCAGTGAGAGGTGCCCTGTGCCCCTTGCAGCCACCTACACTCCCCATTCCTGGTCCCAGAAGCTGCACCCCTCCTGCAAGTGAGCCAGCTGTGCTGCCTACCACCCTGCACTTGCATCCCTGCACCTGGGCAGTCCATGGCCTGCAGTGGGTTGCCCTCACACCTCCCACCAGCCTCCAGGTGGGAGGTGCTCCAAGTCGATCTAAGGTCATTACCATTCATCTGTCAGAGGAGCAACAGCCATGCCCAGGCCTGAGCACTCCCAGTGTCCTGCAGCTAGAGAGGCCTCTTGGAGATTAGAACTACAGATTTTGTTTTAGAAGCCTGCATCCCAGAGGGTCAGAGACCAAGGCCGCTCAGCTTCAGGTGACCTTGGCAAACTGACCACAGAGGAACTCTGAACTTGCAGATCCCAGGAAAATGGGAACGCTAACACATTGCTATTAATGGTGAATTTGAGGTAACTCACAAATGGTGTTGGAACAACTAACTATACCTTTGAGAAAAACATGAAAGTAGAAAAACATAAATGCCAGATGTATTAAAGTGCATGATTCGATGAGTTAACATACATGAATAGTGTAGAAGGCCTTGCACATGTTAACACTCTACAAGCGTTCGCTATCATCAGCTCATTTCCTCTTCACCCCTAGCCTACAAGGCAGTTGTTATTATTATGCTTATTTTCTCATTGAGAAACAAAGGCACAGCAAGGCTACCCTGTGCAGGCAGATGGCCTGAGAACTGCTGTCAATCATGGCACTCCAGGGCTGTCCATCGGGGCATCATCCCCTGCACATGGGCAGAAGGCGTGTGGGTGGGTGGGGGAGGGCTGTGTGCACAGACAGGGCCCTGGAAGCCCTGGCTACTCAGAGAGGTCCTCGGGGCAGAGGATCAGCGTCACCAGGAGCTTGCTAGAAATGCTGAATCTCCATTCCACCCCACACCTGCTTTTTTTTCTTTGTTCCCCATTTATTTATTTATTTTTTTTTGGTAGAGAGGGTGTCTCACTATGTTTCCCAGGCTTTACTCAAACCTCCTGGGCTCAAGCAATCCTCCTGCCTTAGCCTTCTGAGTAGATGGGACTATAGGCGTGCACCACTAGGCCTGACTCAGACCTGGTGGTGCACGCCTATACAATAATCTGCATTTTAATGATATCCCCAGAGGATTTCTGTGCACATTCAAGTTTCAGATGCACTGTAAGACATTGTTTAGTGTGAAAAAGTGGCAGTATCCAGATATATAATAGATGGTGGATAGAACACAGCCATTTACCCCTGCCCCTCCTGCATCTCACCAACAAAACTGCAGAGGAATTATTTAACCCACAAGGATGAGGAGAAAGGGACAGGAGAATGGGTGATGGGATTCTGAAAGCTGGAGGCAGGCATCAGAAAGCTCCAGCGCAGTGTGGCCATGGGAGGGACCGGCAGAATCCATCGGCGCCCCAGGACCCAGGGAACCTCAGGAGCTGGTGGTCAGCACCAAGGGGCTCCGAAGGAGGGCAAGAGCAGAGGTAAAGTTGGAAACACCGGCTGGAAGCCTGCTCACCTGAGGTGGGCTCCCAGATGCCCACCCACCTGCTGCCTAGAGGCTGCCCGAGTGGGCCCTCGGTGGCCACTGGAACTGACCCTCTCACATGTGAGGCCGCAGCACCAACAGGGAGGCCTCACCCCTCTGACTGGGTCCTCCCAATAGGGAAAGGAGATCAGAAAAGTCTTTTCTGAGGTCCAACCAACCCAAGAACAAGAGCCTGGCTCTTGTCTTGATCTCTTGCACTCTGTGGCCCAGCCAGATGGCTCTGTCCTGCAGCCTGCGGTCCAAACGTCCACCTGAGCATGCAGGGCTGCAGCCAGCCAAGTAGTGCCCTGTTTAAACGTGAGCGCTGGGCAGATGGCACAAAGACAGACGGCAAATGGGCAATCAGGAAGAGGGGCTGCAGGAGACAGTGGCACAGAGGAGGCTAGAAACAACACACAGCTGTCACTGGTTGTCCTGGAGTGGAGCCAACAGACAAGTGGAAACATGGGAAGTTCGGTCCAGGAATGTGAGGGTGAGCGCACAGCCTGGAAACAGGGATCAATGCGCAGGAAAGAGAAACTGCTGCAGAGTTGCGGGGGGTGGGGCGTCCCCTTGGAGTAGCCACGGTGGGGATGGAATTGGGAGTGGCATCCCTTTCGAGTAGCCACGGTGGAGACAGAATTGGGAGTGGCGTCCCTTTGGAGTAGCCATGGTTGAGGGATAGACATTTTTTCCGATGGGTTAGATTATGTACATGTGTAAGTGTGATGGGTCCCAGGATGAATTTGTGGCACTTTCCCAAAACACCCCTCAAGGGCAGCAGGGTAAAAGGTTTTAGGTCCCAGTGTCTGGTCAGTCTGTGTCCCTGTCCACAGAGTCTGGGGGAAACCTTGGGGGAGCAACTTAGGAATTTGCAGGGAGCATTTCCTGTCTTGGGGAGGCCTGCCCTCAGGGCTGCCTGAATTCTGGCCCTGCTGTCCCTGCCCTAAGGCCCTGAGGGTGTGCACTCTTCCTCGGCCTGCCTTCGGCTGTCTGTCAGCAATGATAATGGATCCTGGGGAACCTGGGGTCAGACCGTGGCTCCATCGCCAGCTCTGTGGCCCTGGGCAAACTGCTCAGCCTCCTTCAGAGCCACTCTCTTCCCCTCCGGAAATGACTCAGGAAATCCTGTGCAGAAATGCCAGGTACCCAATAGCCAGGCAGCCCTTTTCTGCCCGGAGCTTTCTATAGCCCCTGTGTTGGAAAGGACATAGCCTCAGTCACATTTTCCTCTAATTACAGCCACCTGACTGCCGCAGTGCGGAACTGCAGCCTCCAAGGACACGAGGCCAAGCCAGCCTGTCGGAATGCTCCACCGGGACTTGGCTCTGGAGGGCAGGGGACCACTAGATCCGGCCAAAATAGGCTCAGAGGCCAGTTTGGAGATGGCCACTGGAGCCAGGCAGGGGGCGTTGTCCTCCCTCCGAAGCTGCAGCACCCCTTGCTGCTCCCCGCAGCCCAGAATCCAGCTTCAACCAGGAGCCCAGATCTGGGGAGCTTTTCTCATAGAGAATAGCCGGGCAGGGGCAGAGCTGGGAGCCGAGGGGAGAGGGGAACCAAGACACCAGGTCTCCTGCCCCCAGCCCAGCTGCCCTGGGAGCCTTGGCTGGGTTTTGCACTCTCAAGTGAGGTGGTCAGAGCAGGAAGGAGAAGACCCTGGCCATGAAAGCGCCGGGAATTCCATGGGAACACATGGAAACTGACATGCTGGAAACTAACTGCACACTGGAAACTGACATGAGGAAGGCGGCTGCCATTCTTGCAGAGCCTAAGAGGCCCCTGAGACCCATGTGGCAGGGGAGACCCAGAGAGGTGGGGTGGCTAATGCAAGTCCTCTCCTGAAGTTCTGTCAACTGTCTCCGCTCACGCAAGGAACACATTTTCCACAAAGGTGAGGGCAGGGGAGGTGACCAGGGAGGTAGGGCCCAGGACTTCAGGAACCTCAGCCTGGCCCTGCCCCAAAGGAACCCCCAAAACTTCCACATCAGCCCACACCCTGTCCTCTGAAACCTTCTTACCAGCCCACGCCCCCTCCGTTGTGAAGGGCGACCCAGGTGGCTCCGCGACAGGCATCTCCCACGAAGTTCTGCACAGCCATGTCTGCGGAAATAGAGACGCCTCTGCTCATCACCCCCTGCACTGGGTGGGCACCTGGCTCAGTCAGGCCAGCCTCGCTGGCTAAGCCAGCACTGCTAGGCCAGAAGGATGGGGCGGCAACTAGGCCCTAGGGACAGGGCCTCTCACAGCAGCAGTCGTGTGTGCTGGCAGAGCTGGAGCTAGAGTGGGAGAAACTGACACACGTCTAGTTGTCCCATGGTGGCGCTCTCCAGCACTGGGCACCAGCTAAAGCACTCCGGAAGCAGAGGGAACAGAAGAATTAAAAGGGATGTGGAAACAGTGTTAGTTCAGAGAAGTAGAGTGCCAAAGAGAGTCACTCATATTCTTAAAAAGGGGGGCAGAGGAGCAAACTGCAAATAATAGGCTTCCCTTGACCCCATTAGGGAACTGAGGTCCCAGGACAACCATCCAACCTGAAACCTGGGGACTGAGAGCATCTGCAGAGAGAAACAGAGCCCAAGCCGGTCACCTTATAAGTGTGCAACACATTGCTAAGGGACAGGCGCAGGCCAGCCTGAGACCGTGAGCCCCTGGGTAGACAGCGGTAAAGGCGTTTGCACCCTCTTGCAGGCTCTTCCCCCAAAAATCCCAATGGGTGCCACAGAGAAGATCAGGGAGAACCCTAAGAATATCCCCCTCCTCTTGGTGCTCAGCTATGAAGATGGGGAAGAGACCAGGAGCCAAAAAAGGCAAGAAATGCAGCTCTAGGATCTGGAAAGGTAAGGAAACAGCTGGCTGCCCACAGCCTGTAGGTCACCCAAGTCCAGGGCACCCAGCTGGCCCGGTGTGCCTGGCACTTACCGGTTTTACAACTGGAAGTCCCACATCCCAGACCCCCTCAGTCCTGGGTTGGTCACTCTATGCCGAGCCTCTCAGGTGCCAGAACATCTTTCGAAACATTGTGACTGACTAAATGCATCAATTTTTAATAAAATCCAAATCTAAGATGAAAGTTTAAGACATTCTCATCTTCCTCACCTGCACAGAAGGCAGAGCCGTCGTAAATGTTGGAGGTCTCCCTAAAGGGGCTGTCGGTGCCGCTCACGTCATGGTGATCTCGGCTCAGGACCACCGGCGCCTGTGCATGGAAGGACAGAAGCTGTCAGCCAACAGTGTCCACCATGGCTTCCTGGTAAAGACTGAGGACAAGGGGCAGGTCACACCAGAACCCGCTGGATTTCTCCTCCTGGAAAATAGACCCTCTTCACAACTATTTCTGATGTCATCTGTAGCCTGGAATAGATTCACGTGTGCCCGGCAGCACTCGTGTGTAATACATGTGTGAGCTCACCGAGCACTCACAGCCACCCTGTTCAGATAGGCACAACCATTATCATGCCCACTTCATAGATGAGAAAGCGGAGGCACAGAGAGGAGAAGAAATTTCCCCTATATCACAGAGCGAGTGAGTCGTGAGCTGGGGTTTAACCCCACACGTGTTATATGCCGGCGCTCCTCGTCTTACGATGGTGCTACATCTTAATAAGCCCACTGTACCCTAAGTAAAAAACGACTTAAGAGTATTTTTAACTTACGATGTATTCATTTGGACGCAACCCCATTGTATGTCGAGGAGAGTACTAAACAAGTGTCACTTCACACCATTGTAAAGCAGAAAAATTGTTAAGTCCGAGTGTCCACTTAGTCTGGGCTCAAGCCTCAGGCAGCCTGGCCCCTGACCTGTGCAATAGAGACGTGGCTGGCTGATGGCCTGGAGGTGTTGGAGGGCCTCACTGGGGGAGTATTTGGCAGTACCTACCATGAGACCTTGGGCAGGTCACTTCCGTCTGGGAATAGCTCTTGGTTTCCTGGATGAGGTAATTGCTAAGAGCCTTTTCGTGCTGCCAGTCTCTCTGAGGACAAAGACTTTTCGCACAGAGAAAGCATTCATGCTGAGTTTGATTTTTTAATACACTCATCGGCAGCACTCCTTGTTCCCCAGGAATCTCCGGCTGCTCAGATACCCAGGAGAGGCAGCCAGCTGCTGCTTTGCCCCCACGAGATGGATGTGGTACAGCCCTGGAAGTCAGGTAGGGCCATGGCTAAGGGCAGGTCAGCTGACTCCCTTATGCTGTGCATGGGCAGGCCTGCTATGAAAAGGAGTCCTGGCCGGGCACAGTGGCTCATTCTTGTAATCGTAACACTTCGGGAGGCCAAGGCAGGGGATCACTTGAGGTCAGGAGTTCGAGACCAGCCTGGCCAACATGGCAAAACCCGTCTCCACTAAAAATACCTAAATTAGCCAGGTGTTGTGGTGCACGCCTGTAATCACAGCTCGTCGGGGAGCTGAGGCATGAGAATCGCTTTAATCTGGGGGGTGGAGGTTGCAGTGAGCTGAGACCACGCCTGGGCTATGGAGTGAGTCTTTCTCCAAAAAAAAAAAAAGAGGAAAGAAAATGAGTTCTAACTGGCAATTTAAAAAACAGAGTGAAGGAACTGGGAGGAACCCTGACTAAAGAGAAGGAGTAGGGGGAGCCGTCGGACACTGCACAGGGAGCATGTCAGCCTGGCTCTGCACCTTTCAGTCAGGAGAGGGAGCACGCAGGTCAGTATGCAGTTTGCAGTGCACCTGGGGAGCAGCCCAGCTGTTTCAGCTAAGAAGTCCTATTCCTATCACCAGGTCCTGGAAACTTTTCAGGTAGCGCTGGTTGATGGGCGTGATCTTCCCAACCTCTCCAGGGGATCTCAAAATTTCACAGGCCCCTGTGCCAGAAGATGCATCCTGACAAAAGCCTGGGATGCCCTGTGCTCTTGAATGAAGAGGTCTGCCTTTCCCACCTTCAACAGGCCAGGCCTGTTCCCACGTCTTCACCTGTGCAATGAAACCACCTTCCCCCAGATATTCTGGCACTTTCTGGCCATTCAGGTCTCAGCTCAACGTTAGCAACTCAGAGAGGCTGTCCTGACCACCGCTCTTCGCCATGTTCATTTCCTGCACGCCGCTCCTCATCCTCTGAAACCCTGTCGCAATGTGTGCCTTCAGCTTTACGTCAGTCACCCTTCACCACACTACACGGGTCTGTCTTGTTCTCTGCTGTGTCCCTGGTGGTTAGGACACGCTGCACAGTGGCCATGCTCAGCCAAGCACTGTCCAGTGAATGGACACATGCTTACTGACCCCTTTCTGCTGGCCAGCTGACCGCAGCCCGGGGCGAGTGCGCCTGGAGCTTCCTAGCAGTCCCCGGGAACACCTGGGCTTCCAGGAAGCACTGGGTGGGTGCATTTGGCTGTGCCCTAGCAGGGCTGGCTACTGCCTTTGCTGCCGGTGCCAGCCCCAGAATCATGCCAGGGCAGTCTTCATACCTCTGTCCCAATGTCTATCTTACACCTGACCAGTAACATTCCTGGCACTTCTGAAAAGAGAGACGCCCGCAAGAACTCTGTGGCAGGAGGAGCCAGAGCCCCTCGGAGCAAGCATGCCCAGGGTTCCGTCCTCGAGACGGGCTTGGCGATTGGCAAAATGAGCAAAAGCTAGGGAAGTTTGCCATTGCTTGAGAAAAGGGAACTCCATAAAGATGTTTAAAGTTACTTTGTGGAAGCTGACTCACTCAATCCTCACACACATGCTTTTTAGTCTCTTTTCACAGAAGAGGGAAACCAAGGCTCGGAGAGGGCTACGGACCTGCCCAAGGTCACACAGCAGGGAACAATGATGGGGCCTGACACACACAGAGCAGGGTCCCCAGACACCTCACCCAATCCCAGATTATCCCCAGAGGGGCCTTGGAGCCCCTGAGCCACCTATGCTTCAGGGAGGTTACCTATTTCAAGCACTGCTCCTGCTCCCCCAGGCCCTCCTTCCCACCACCCCCTCACAGCCGCCTTACCCTTGCCTCCCCAGCAGAGCCCTACTACTCAGCTGGTCCCAGGGACCAAAACCTTCAGCAAAACCTGATCTCCCTAAAGAGGGGGAAGTTTGGGCCTCAGCCATGGAAGAGCTAAGCTCCCGGGAGGGGCTGGTCCACTGCTCCTGAGCACTGGGCTGCTGAGGCCCAACGGGGGTGTCTCCCCACCCAGAAGGCTGTGGGGTGCAGCCGAGGCACACGCAGGAAGGCCCAAGGCAGGAAAGGCAGTGGGAAGAGGCTGAGGGATGCTTCCCCCAGAGCACAGGACACCTCACCTTGATCCTCCTGCAGGCGATGGCCTGGTTAATGGCCACAGCGATGGCCACGCGGCCCTTCTGGTCTGAGTACAGGATCCTTGCCTGGGAGCCCACCACCTGAGGAGAGAAGGGCAACTGGCATCTCAGCCAACATAGGCAGCAATAACAGGACCTGGGGTGCAGGGAGACACGGGTGGCACTTCCACTGTGGGACATGGCCCTTGGCAGCCTGAGCGCCTAACAAGGTCCAGGAGGACCCCCAGGGTGCATGGTAGCTCTCAAATCTGTGGCCTGAGGTGAGCCCCCACATTCAGCCCACTAGACAGCCATACCGGCCCCACATGTCCACTGTAGTCTGGGCCTCCAGACACCTCCCCCAATCCCAGATTATCCCCAGAGGGGCCTTGGAGCCCCTGAGCCATCTGTGCTCCAGGGAGGTTACCTATTGCGAGCACTGCTCCTGCTCCATCCCACAGTGATGACATCAACGCCATCCAGGGCAAGTTTGCGTTGGGCCTGCCCCACTCTCAGTGTGCCATACAGCCTCTTGTCTGTGAGTCTTATGGGAAGATACTGTCATCCTCATCATAAGCTCCATTTTCCAGATGAGGAAATGGCCCCAAGAGGTGGAGCCACCTGTCTACAGGTTGACCTTGGGCCCTCTGTCTGTCTGCTGCACCCACGAGCTCAGCCACCCAGTGATCGCATCTCCTGACAGTAATGGGTGGTTGTCCCCGGGAGACAGCTTCAGCGCATGAAATGAGTCACTGTGTAGCCCCGCGGTCCTCAAGCAGGATGACATTTGGCAATGACTGAAGACATTTTTGGGTGCTGCTGGCATGGGTCGGGATGCTGCTAAATACTCTACAACGGCCCCCGTGATGAAGAAGCCCCCAATGACTCCAAGAGATATGTGCACACACACGTTCACAGCAGCATGACAACAGCTGAGAGGTGGAGGCGACCTGGGTATCCAGCGTGGTGCACGGATGAACCAAACGTGGTCTGTCCATACAGTGGATTGTGATTCAGCCTTAAAAGGAAGGAAATTCCAACCCATGCTACAACATGGATGGATGAACCCTGAAGACATTATGATAGGAGAAATAAGTCAGACACAAAAGGACAAACACTGTCTGATCTCGCTTATATGAGGTTGTTGAGTGCCAGGGGCCGTGGGAGTAGAATGGGGAGTTAGTGTTTAATGGGGACAGAGTTTTGGTTTGGGAAGGTGAAAAAGCTCTGAGATGGATGGTGGTGATGGCTGCACAGCAGTATGAATGTGCTTGAAGCCACTGCACTGCACACTCAAAAATGGCAAAGATGGTTAAGATGGTAAATTTTACGTTTATGTATAATTTACCATAATTAAAGAAAATTTGTACAGCCCCAAATGTCAGTACGCTGAGGCTGAGAAACCCTGGTTTCTCCAAAGAAGATGCAGGTGTCTGCCCCAGTTGCTGGTGAGCTCGACCAGGAGCCGGTAAAAGGCAGCAGGGCCGGGCCACGGAAGCAGCTGTGCACCTGACCGCAAGCTCAGCTTTGGCCGGGACAATGAGTCTAGCTGCTTCTTCCTCCCTCATGGGTTCCTAGAGAACAGGCTTATTTTACTCACACCAGCTGCCTCAAATCCTTTTCAGAAAAACTACTCGTGTGAATCAGCACTGCAGAGATTTTCAGATTTTTTGGATCCAGAAAAAAATTGGTGAGGAACTGACATAGGATTGCCCACTTTGTCAAGAGGGTACATTAAAAGAAAATAAATCAAAAAATTTTAAAAGGCAACCTTCTGCAGTCACCGTTCAGAAGAGAAAGCAACAGTAAGTATCAGGAGGCACACGATCTCCAGGGGACTTTAAGTCAAAGCAGACGCACCCTGCTTGCAGCTCCAGCTGCAGCATCCACCCCTTACACCCTCAACTCTGGCACCTCCCACGGCCCCTTCTCAGCCATGCTGGCATCCATCCTCTCAGGCTATCCCCCCTCTCTTCTCCACCCCATCTCTGCACTGACCCTGCAGCTCCAGCCTCCGAGTCTTGGCCTTGGCATCTCTGACTCAGCACCGTCACAGAGATGCTGTTGGCACGGGGACTCTGAGGCTGGATACAAATGCAAACCATTGCGTATGGATGAGACAGCCCAGGACAGGGGCAGGCCTCTCCTGGCCCTGGGACTCCTGGGCCAAGACCCACTAGTTCAGACACGGTCCATGGCCAAAGGTGTATGAACCAAATGCCCACTTTTTCTTCTGTTTTGTCCTCATTACACCCAGTCTACTGCCACCGTGGGGCCTGTGTACAGGCTGGGGCTTGTGCAAGGGCTGGTCCCTCTGCCTCGATTGTCACATGGTTGCAACCCTCTCAGCATGTAGACCTGGATGCACATGCTGGACCCCTTCCCTGGCCATTCTGTGTGAGGCAGCCCCACCCACCCCTCCCTGCTGGTGCTTTCCTGCACACACACCCAGCAGAAACTGGGCAAGACTCATCTGTTAGCTCAGCCTCACAACACACCCCCTGTACAAGCAGGGCCACAGGGGCCTGCTCCAAACACTGCCACCACCGTCTCCGCTTTGCAGATGAGGGCGTGGCGCTCAGAGAGGCTGAACCACTCACCCCAGGTCACACAGCTGAGGATACGGGAGGCTTCTCAGGCCCAGGCAGCCTGGCTCTAGAGCCCAAACTCTTTCCTCTGCAGGGCTGCCTCTATTTGTTGAGTAACAGGATGAAGAACGACCTGCCCAACTCTAGTCGCTGCCCCAGAGCCCCAGGCCACTTTCCCCCTCTACGTTTTAAATTATAAAATATACATACATAAAATGTACCATCTTAACCATTTCTAAGTACACAGTTTAGTGGTATTAAGTCGATTCATAATGTAAAACCATTGCCCCATCCATCTCCCCATTCCACATCCCCCAGCCCCTGGCACCCACCATTCTGCTTTCTGTCTCTATGAATTTGACTGCTCTAGGGACCTCATAGACATGGAACCATGCAGTATTTGTCCTTTTGTGACTGGGTTATTTCACTTAGCATGGTGTCCTCCAGGTTCATCCATGTTGTCACGTGTGTCAGCACTCCCTTCCGTTTGAGGCCGAGTCATATTCCATCTCATGGTTAACCCACACTTTGTTTATCCATTCGTCCATCAGGGAACACCTGGGTGGCTTCCGCAGCTTAGCCATTGTGAATAGTGCTGCTGTGAACATGGGCGTGCAAGTATCTCTCTGAGTCCTTGCTTCCAATTTTTTGGGCTACACATCCAGAAGTGGAATTGCTGGGTCATAGGGTAATTCTATTTTTGATTTTTTGCAGAAGCTTCCTCCTGATTTCCATGTGGCTGCACCATTTCACCAACAATGCACAAGGGTTCCAAATTCTCCGTGTCCTCTCCCAGGCCACCCTTTAAAGGTCCCCGGCTTCTTTCTCCAGCAGCCCCTTGGGCTGCTTCCCCTCCCAGTGTGGCCACCATGGGGCTGGCACAAACAGTCACACAGGATCTTGTGTGTGCACCCTCTCAGGGCTTGGCAAGCTGGAGGCTGTGGACCAGGCTGAGCGCCCGTCAGCAGCACCTCACCTTTGGGCAGTCTTCTGACAGCACAGCCACCCCAGCCTCCCCCAGGCCTGGGCCCTCACCAGCCGGTGCCTGGCGGCCTCCCGGATCCAGCGGATGTTGTCCATGTACTGCAGCTTCACAGACACCTTCACTGCAGGAGAGAGGACAGCAGGCGTCAGAGACCCTCCAGGGGCACAGACCTGCCCTCAGGCAGGCTGCTCAGCTCAGCACAGACCCTGCCCCGAGCCCACCACTGAGCTAGGACACAAGGTGAGGGAGCCCACCCCACCCCACCCCTGCCTTTGTGAACTTGGGGACCAGCAGTGCCAGTGGCCCCATGAATTAATAATGCACAGCCGTGCAGCGCACTGCCTGATGCACTCGGTCCCTCCACAAATAGCTATTCAGTGCCTACTATACACCAACACTGAGCAAGGCACCAGGAACAAAGACCGCTGTGGGCCGTGAGGAACACAGGACTGTGTTGAGGGCTCCCCAGGATGGTGGATGCGGGGGCTTTCTGAGGAAGTGGCCATCAAGCTGAGTCTAAAGGCTGGGAAGGAACCGGACAAGGAAGCTCTGAGGGAACAGCCTTCCAGGCAGAGGGAACAGTCAGTGCAAAGGCCCTGAGGTGAAAATAAACTTGGCCTATGCAGGAGCTACCTGGCCAAGCTCACGGAGTATGTGTGCATGTGAGAGGGCACAGGAGCCAGCCTGACCAGCTCGTGAAAGCAGACTGGTAATTTTCCAGAAATTGTGGGAGCCAGTGGTTAACATAAATATCATTAAAATTTTAAATAAGCTTACACTTTTACCAAATTATATTAAAATGAAGGTAATAGAAATCCCTCACTCCTGTGACTTCACAGCCTTCGACTAGAGTATCTGCCTGGTGGAGATGCCGCAGGGCATGTGCTGCGGGCATGTGGAGCTGGGTCAGCACGCCTGGAAACCAGCCAGGCCTGGAGTCTTTACTCCAGGGTCTTCGTGGGTGCAGCAGCTCAGGGCTTCTTTCCGGAGGGCTGGTCGTTCCCCACTGGCTGCCTGCTGTTCTCACACCAGGGAAGCCCAGGAGACATCTGACCAGACCCCCAGGAGAAGGCCCCTGCTTCCCCTGCCCTCCTGCCTGGGCCCCTGCCCGCCTCCTCCTCCACAGGTGACCACGTCTCCCCTCTGCCTGGCTCTCCTACTCTGAGTCTGTGTAACCTGGGCCCCTGCCCAGCCCACCGAACATGGCCAGCAGCAGGGTGTAAGGGCCCTAGAGATGTGAAGCACACAGCAGAGGCTGGTGAACCACACAGAAAAGCCACCCGACCTGCAGGAAAGCTGCAGAGAGACCGGGGTAAGAACTGCAACAACAGAGGAAGTGTCATAAAATAACCATGAAACAACAACGTCAGACCCACTCAACGAGAACAAAGGTTGGTTAAAACCCAGGCAGGCCATGTAGACATGGAAAAACACAACCCTCTGGCAGAACCAACACTCAGCATCAGCAAAACCCAGGATGAACATGGGGGACCCTGATGCAGAGGAGACCCTTGTGGACCTGGCAGGCGTGGAAGGCTGGCGGGAGCATGTGGAGACAGCTTCATCATGGAAGACAGCAAGAAGGAACTAGAAGCACTGCTGTCAGCACTGCCCTGGCCACGTGGAGGGGGAGGCTGGGTCTGAGAGGGACTGTGGTGTGCTGCGGGCTGCCCAGAAAGCCTGGCCCCGGCCACTGCTGCCTGGCCACCCTAGCCCTGGACCGTCCTGCTTCAGCCGCTTTGAGGGGCTTTCTGTCACTCGCAGCCAGAGGTCCTCACTGGCAGAGCCCAGGACAGCTCTGGAGGGCAGAGGCTTGGTGTGGGTGGGGCCTGTGCCTCCACGGCTGAGAACGACACTTGGGGACCAGGATCTTTGCAACTCACTCAAGTTTCTTTAAGTCCCTTTGTGTTGCCAGCTGAGCACCCACCAGACTCACAAAGTCATCTGCGCCCAGGTTCCCTCCCAGAATTAGCTAGGTGGGCCTGCTATAGAAGCTTGTCTCTATGGAGGCAGAAGCTTTGGGGGGGCCACCCACCCATGGGCATCCCCACCAATGGCGTCACCTCCATCAGCAATGGCTTCCTCCAGCACAGATGTGGCCAGTTCGTCTGTGACCGCCAGGTCCTGGGGGTCCCCCGATGTGCACACCCAGCGGAAAGGCCCAAATCCCTGGGAGAATATGTCCCTGCAAGCACAGATGCCTCCTCACCCTGGGCCCGCTGGCTTGTTGGGGGAGGGGGTGCAGGTGTGAGCATGCCAGGGAGGAGGGCTCAGCATCCAGAAGTCAGGTGTGGAACCCCCTAAGCTGTCATTGGACAGAAAGTTCCAGGGGCCTCCCTGTCCCCTCTCTGTGTCCCAGTGCCCCCAGCCCTCCATCCCTGCCTCCTGGCTGTACCATCTCTAGCTACAGGAGTGGGGAGCTGGGACCTGGGCAAACAGAAATGACCCCAATTGCTGTTACAGATGACAAGAAAATCCATCACCTAAAAGTGACAGTCACATTGAGAGGAGAGTCAACCTGGGGCTGTAGCCTTGGGGAACTCGCCCTAGGTGAGCTTATCTTCCCAGGAGCCAGGCTCCAGGACAGGGCTGTCCTGGGGGGAGGATGCCGTGGCCTGGGCCCTCCCTGGGCTCCTGCACTTGCTAGGCCAGGGGGTGCCTCCTCCTGGGCAGCCCTCCCTCTCCGGAGAGTGCCAGCTGACAGTGCTCAGCCCCTCCCACCTCTGCACCCCACAGTGAGCTTGACAGTAAGTGGCATTTGCCTTTCTCACCTCCATCTCTCTCTCGTCCCATGTGGCACCCACTGAGGACTGGCACATCTTCCAAAAGTCATGTGGTCCCTCCTGCCCCCAGCAGAAAGCCCAGACTTCTCAGCTTGGCCCAGGCTCCTCTCTGGCTCCCGCCCTCATCCCCTGCTTGTCCTGGGCTGCTGGCCTTCCCTAGACCTGCACCCCCATGGCCAGAGAGGCCCACGACCCCCAGGGCCACAGCAGGTGCTGGGCTTCATGATCCAGCCATCAGCCACCCACGAGGGCCTGTGAAGACATATTATTCAGGTGCAGTTGTTTGCCAGGAAGTGGCCTCAGCCTCTAGGCCCCGCAGCCCCCTGTTCTCACTGAGGCCCTGCAGGAGGCGTCTCTCGTCTGCATTTCCTCCTCACCTGCCTGTCTGTGGTGGAAAACCCATGGACAGAGCCTGGCCACTTTGGGGCAGTGTGGAGGTCTCAGCGCATGACCTCAGGGGCGGTCAGAGGCTGAAGCTTCTCCAACCTAAATACCCAGGACGCAGACCCTGAACGGGGCAGGGGTGGCACTGGGCACACTAGATGTGGCAGCCGCCCATCACTCACCCCATGATGTGCTGCACATAGGAAGGGTAGCGGAACTCTGTCCTGCCAGCACCTTTCTTCTCCACATCCGCTCCTGTGGGCAGAGCCCGGACAGTCACCACCCAAGGCAGGACACCCATGGCCACCCTAGATGGCAACTTAAACACAGGGCCCAGAGGGAGGCTGGGGAAGGATGCACAAGGTCTTTTTCATGTAAAAGAAGAGAAAAGCAGGGGCAGCCGTGGCCAGCATGCTGCTGTCTGTGTGGCCAGGTGCAGGATGCATGCGCTTGCCATGGACGCTGTGTCAGCCTCCAGCGCGCCAGAGCCCGCCACCTGCAGGGAGGTAGACAGGGCTGGGGGGGCTTCCCACTGCGGACACTGTGCCTTTTGAACCTCATACCCCATGAAAGAATTGCCCATTTTACAGAAGGAAGTTTCCATCACAGAAAAGGAAAGCTGCAATTTTGGGACTGGAGCTTGCACCTGAGTCTTGTACCTGCTCTCCGTATGGGACTTTATGTTCCTAAAGCACATGGAGAAACTGAGGCCCAGAGAGGCTGAGCCACCTGGCTGGGCCTCAGCATCCAGAAGGCCTGGCAGAGGCACAGTGAAGCCTCGGTCAGGATTTGCTGGGCCACCCATGGCACCTCCGAGTGAGGTGGGAGCCAGTGGCACTGGCCTGAGAGGCTGGGCCCAGGGTGGTGGCCCCTCCCTCCTCCTCCCTCCTCCTTCCTCCTACCTGCTCTCTGGGCCTCCAAGAGGAAGGCATTGCCGTAGTCCCAGAAGAAGAACTTCTCCTCGGCCAACCTGTTGATGGCTGAGACTTGCCTCCTCAGGCTGCAACAAGCCATGGGTCAGCACCACCGCTGTGAGGCCCTGGGGCCTCCCCAATGTGGCACCCTCAGTCGCACCCGCCATGCTCCCCACCAACTTCCAGCCCCACTGCCTGGACTGCTCCTGCTCCTCGGGTCGGCACCACACACCTGGAATGCCCCTGCCCCTGTCATCTGTTTAGAACCTCTGCACCTTTCAAGGCCCAGCTGGCAACTCCCTAAACAAGCATTTCCTGGTCCCCAACCCCATCAGGCCCTGGGGAAAAACAGATGCCCCAGAGAGGTCTCACACCCCAGCATCTACTTGGCGCCATGCCGGGACTACACTGGGCATTCAGCAAATGTCACTCAGCTTGTCCCCCTGCACTGCCGAGAGGTAAGTGTGTCATGACTCCGTCTGATGGGTGGAGGCAGAGGCTCAGAGAGGTTAAGGTCTTGCCCAAGGCCAAGCAGCTGGTTGCTGGAGAACTAGGTGGTGGCCAGAGCAGGACAAGGTGGTCTGCCCAGGCCAAATGCTTCTGCCACCCCCAACTCCAAGTAGCACCTTTCCTGGACCAGGTCCTTGAACACAGCAGGGTTGGAGGCCATGAGGCTCTGGGCCTCCGTGAAGCTGAGCTGCACAGGGTAGTAGCCGCCATTGAACGGGTTGTGGCAGGATGTCTGATCTGACCCCAGGTCCACCAAGCACTCCCCCGTCGTGTCCAATTCGTGGACCAGGCGCTCCCTGGGGAAGCCATGCGGTGGTCAGTGCAAGCCACACACAGCCTGGGCCCAGAGTCTGGGGCCAGCCAGGTGGGGACCCTAGCACATTTTCCCACCCACAAATCCAGCAGGCACAGCCCGAGCCAGACCCTGCTTTCCCCCTGGAAAGAGAACCTACGGGAAGGCTGTGGGCAGGGCAGGGACGGCTGCCTCAAGCTTGGGTAAGGGTGTGGGCCAACAAGGGTGGCGCTGAACTGGGGCTCAAAGCTTTGTGTCCTGGCAGCTCCTGGTCAGCATTGAGGTCTTTGCTCAGGGGGCCCCATCTGGGTTCCCAAGCTGGCCATCAACTCCCAACCCCCACTCACCAAAGAGCCACCACGTTGCCATGGTAACCAAGGCTGAGCACCTCCTTTTTTTTCCTTGCTTCCCTGGAAGGACACAAAAGCAGAACAGGTGCCCCCTGCACCTGTGCATAGGTGCCCCAGACACACCTGCACCCCAGCTGCACACAGGGGCAGACCCAGGAGGCCACCAGAGGTGTTGTGTGCAAACGTGGGGGCCATGGGGCTGGGCCATGAAGCATGCCTGCAGGACCCCGACTTTTGTCCAGGACACAAAACTATAAAGGGAAAATCCAGACCCAAATTCCCCAGACCAGAAAACCCACATGGCAGTGGCAAAACTGCCTGGGCGATCCATGGAATTCGGGTTATTGATGTGGGTCCTCCACAGGGATCTTTACAGAACCCACCCAAGGTGGTCCCAGAGTTGCAGGATTCACTAAAGATGATTCCCAAAATTATTCGGAAAAATAGGACAGGAAAAATCAAAGCATATTTTGGGAAACAGAAGATTTGAACAGGCCTTGCAGGTAGTAGAGATATCAAAAAGCAGCAATGCACAGGGAAGGTGGTATGGTCCCCATGAAAGAGCAGATTGAATGCTTACCAGGAGTGGCCTGGAGAAGCCCGAGGGAGCCAGGCACCTCCCCTCCCCCAGGGGTGCAAGGTTGACAAAGCAGGAAAGGACACACAGTCCCAGGGCAGCAGGGAGGCCGGCCCAGCCCAGGGCTTGTTGCAATCCCAGCTGAAGGACCCTGTGGGAACCGTGAGCAGAGCTCACTCCATTCCCATGGGTCTTCCTCAGCTCGGGGGTTGCGGAAGTGTGGCAGACAGGTTGCTCGAGACAGTTCCTTAAACTGATTTTGATGTATGTGTATGTGTGTGTGTTCATGTGTGGATGTGCATGCATTTGTACATATATATGTATATATGCGTGTATATGCATATGTGTATGTATGCATGTGAGAATATATGTTATGGGCATGTGCGTGTGTGTGTTGCGTGTGTTTGTGTGTGTGTCTGTGTGTGTTTATGGTGTGTGCATGTGTCTGTGTGTTTATGTGTGTGTGCGCCTGTGTGTTTATGTGTTTGTGTGTGCTGTGTGTCTCTGTGCATGTTTATGCATGTGTGCATGTGTGTTGTGTGCGTTTGTGTGTTTGTGTTACATGCATGTTTGTGTACATGTGTTTACATGTGTTTATGTGTTGTGTGTGCATGTATGTGTGTTATGTGTTTGTGTTTATTATGTATATGTGCATTGTGTGTTGTGTGTGCATGTGTGTGCATACGTATTGTGTTTATGCATGTTAGTGTGTATGCATGTGTGTGTTATGTCTGTATTTATGTTTGTGCATGAGTTATGTGTTTATGCATGTTTGTGTTTGTGTGTGCATGTGTGTATGTCTGTGTCTGTATTTATGTGTATGTGTGTGTTTATGTGTGTGCATGTGTGCACTCTGTGTGTGCCTGTGTGTGCATGCATGTGTTGTGTGTCTGTTTATGTGTGTGTCTATGTATGTGTTGTGTGTTATGTGTCTGTTTATGTGCATGCATGTGTATGTTGTGTGTGTTTGTGTGTGCAAGTATGTGTGCATGTGTGTGCTGTGTTCTCTGTGTATGTGTGCTTATGTGTGTTAAGTGTGTTCATGTGTGTTACATGTGTGTTGTGTGTTTGTGTGTGCAAGCTTGTGTGCATGTGTGTGCTGCATTCTCTGTGTATGTATGTGCATGTGTGTGTTGTGTGTTTATGTGTGTGTTATATGTGTGTTTATGTATGTGGGTGTGTCTGTGTGGTTATATGTGTGTGCATGCATGTTGTGTGTGTTTATGTGTGTGCGTTTATGTGTGTGTGTGTGTACATGCACACACTCAGGATGCTAAACAGCCTGAATAGGGATGGGAGTTAGGTCGGGGAAGCCCCTCACAGCACACCTGGAGTGTGGAATTTCTTCTATCATTGATGAAAAATTATCTGAGAGTTCTAAAGAGGGTGCAATGTGGTTGGATTGGTATGTTAGAATGATAGGTCAAAATAGTTCACTGCATCGTTTCTCAAATTTTGTTTACATTTTCATCAGAAACAGCTTTTAAGCCCCTGTGGAGATTCTAGTTGAAGCCAGGTGGGCAACCACTGCACCGATGTGTCTTCCCGTAACAGGACTCTGCTCTGGGCAGTAAATTAATTGAGAGGATGCTTCAAAAGTGGCATCCGAGCAGGAGCCCCCAAGGCAGTCTTCCCACCATCCCACTGAAATACCTCTGAAGACTTTGCCTAGGGTTGAGGCGGAGAAACCCACCGACTGCCCCTCAGCACCGTGGGCGAAGCTCTGCCCTGGAGCACAGGGAGGGAGTGCACGCCTCACAGGCTCGCCACTGCAACAGCGCAGGGCAGCCCCTATCAGGCCGGGTGGCTCTGCGAGCCCACACAGCAGGGAAAAGAAGATTCATGCTTCGCAGAACCAGGTAAGAGCATGGGAGCCCCAAGAAGGCTACCTGAAGCCCATCAAGGCCAAGTGTCTGACACCAAGCCCACAGCCCAGTGGCTGCAGCCGGCAATGACGGAATGTTGGAGGCCCTTCCAGAGGCTTCTGCCCTATCACCACCCGCGGGTCAGCCCTTGTGTGCGTGTGTGTGTGTGTGCGCATGTATATGTACATGTGCATGTATGTGTGGTGCCCACATGTAGCCAGCTGTCAGGCATTAAACAGGCCCACACCAAGCTGCCCCATGGGGGTCCTCTTGTGGTCTCCTGCTGCCACGTGTCAGGTGTCAGGTGTCCGGAGTTGAGCTTGGAGCTGTACCTGAGCCTCTGGATGCAGCGGTCCAAGCTGTCAGTCACTTCCATCAGCCAGCCCTGCCTGTGGCGTTTCTCAAGGGCTGCTTTATCCACCTGGGGCCATGAGACATGGGGCCACGAGACATGGGGCCACCCGGTTACAAATCTTCCCTAAGTGTATCATCCTCAACTAGGAAGGTGTCATCCCCTGTAGGTCCCTTGCTTTTCTATAACACAGTCTCAGGGAAGACACCATGAGCTGCCCTCCCTCTATTTATTCCTTCTCCCACCTCCCTTATAAGCAGAACCCAGGTAGTGTTCAGGGTGACACGGTTCAGCCCCAGGAGATGGTCTACGTCCAAGCTAATCACAAGGACTTGTCCACGATCTCCATCCTCCCTTGCAGATAAGAACATCGATTTCAACTAAGACTGACCAATGAGATAAAAGGAGAGGGTTTGGAGACATGACTTTCCTGAAAAAATAGAGTCATAGCAGACACTTCCCTTCTCACCTCTTCCTGCCTTGAACATGGATAGGATGGCTAGGGTAGGGGCAGCCATTGTTTCTACAAGGGAAGCCCAAAGGAATCAAGAGATATTAACATCATTGAGCTGCCAAACCAATGCCAACACTGTTGGTTACGTGAGAAAAATAAAACCCTATTTACACAAGCCGCTGTAGGTAGGTTTCTTGTTACCTGCAGCTTGGTGCACTCCTAACAAGCACAGGTACGTATGATGTAGGTTTGGCATCAACTGAGTGCAAATCCCACTGGCACATATCGCCAAGCCTTGCCTCAAGGCTCCTTGCCTCCTCCACTTCCGACTTCCCTTCCTCTCCTTAGCACCCACCAAAGAAAGATGCGAGAGCCTACTATAGTTGGGATATATTTGTCCCCCAAACCTCATGTTGAAATTTGATCCCTGGTGTTGGAAGTGGGGCCTGATGGGGGGTGTTTGGGTCATGGGGCAGCTTCCTCATGAATGGCTTGATGCAGTCCTTGCAGTAATGACTGAGTTCTTGCTCTGTTTGTTCCTACAAGAGCTGGTTGTTTAAAAGGTCCAGCACCTCCCTCTCCTCTCCCTGCTCTCCCTCTCTCACCGTGTGACCCACCAGACCCCCTTCACCTTCCACCATGAGTGGAAGCTTTCTGAGACCTCAACAGAAGCAGATGTGGGCACTATGCTTCATGTACAGCCTGCAGAACTGTCAAACAAACCTCGTTTCTTTATAAATTAGCCTCAGGTGTTCCTTTATAGAAACTCAAATAACTAAGATGATGCGGCCACTGAGGGAAAGCTGCCTGCACTCACCTCTATGGAGGGTGACCTCTCTGCCTCCCCACCTGTTCAAGGTGGGGAGTCTATGAGTTCATTTATTCACACACATTCATTCCCTCCCATCTGTATTCCAGGGATGTGGTGGGATACAGGAAAGCTATACCCATAAATAGACGGTCAGAGTTTTGTGGTCAGAGTTTTGTGGGAGGGCAGTCGATAGGCATTGCCCATGCAGGGTGATGGGCACTTTGAAAGCAGGAAGCTTATGCCGCCCATGGGAACCCACCCAGTGAGGTCCAGTGGGGCTTCGTGGAGGAGGCAAGGGTGGCCTGGGCAAGGAAGGATGAGAAGGGGGGTCTGTGGTGTAAGTGATCCGGGAGGAAGAAGGGAGGGAGGGAGGGAGGGAGGGAGGCAGGCAGGAGCGAAGGCCAGGAGCCCCCCAGCTTACCTCTGCTATCACACCGATGCACCCCACGATGACTGCGGCCTTGGCCTGAGCCCCACTCATTCCGCCGAGCCCAGAGGTGACAAAGACCTTCCCAGCCAAGTCCTCGATGCCCAGGTACCGACGTGCAGCATTCAACACGGTGAGCTGCAGGGAGAAGAGGTGGGGGCTCACTGCCCACTCCCAGCCCGCCCCCTCCACCCCCCATGCTGGGAAGCCCACAGCCAGGCGTGGCCCCATCTCTCACCACAGTGCCATGAACGATTCCCTGGGGACCGATGTAGCAGTAGCTACCTGCTGTCATCTGGCCGTACCTGACCACAGGGAGAGAAGCCAAGCCCAGGGCTCAGCCAGTGCCAGGCCCAGGTCCTCCCAGCCACTCCTTTTAGGAGGTTGAAAATTAGTATTTAACTACCCAATAGGCATTAATATATTCTCCTTCACATAAAATAGAGAGAGCACAGAGAACACAAGAAGGCTATGGACACCCTTGTCCCCTCTCGCCTTCCAGACATTTTACAAGCAGATTTTGTTCTGTTAAAAACTGTAGTGTAATTGGTGAAGAATTGTTTTGGGGAATATTTGGCTGTATAGACTCCAGCTGAATGTGTGCAGCATGCCCACACTACATGCTTACGCCAGGCAGAGACACACACAAGGATGTTCACCGCAACTTTAGGCACAAGGGCCAAGACCTGAAGCTGCTGAGATGCCCCTCCACCGGAGACGAGAGAAGTGAGTGGCGGAAACACCACATGGCAGAGAGGGACAGGGCCCTGCACTGTGCCCATGGAAGCAAGACAGATTGGGAGGCAAAAGGGTTAAATAAATTAGTGCAATTGAACATTGCAGGTAAAGGAAGAATACATGAGATCTGCTTCCTGAAATGCAGCAATCTCCTAGCTCTCTTGTGAAGGTGGGAAAGGCAAGGCACAGAGGCCGGCTCGAATGGTCTAACCACCTAAATTGCCAAGCCCACATGCATAGAAAGTGTTTGGAAGAACACAGGAGACACTGTCAACTGGAGAATCTAGGACGTAAGAGGGATCTCCTTTTCAGTGTAGCTCCATTTATAATGCTTAATGAAATACTTTGCATTGCCGGCCACCGTGGCTCATGCCTGTAATCCCAACACTTTGGAAGGCAGAGGTGGGCGGATCAACTGAGGTCAGCGGTTCGAGACCAGCCTGGCCAACATGGTGAAACCCCATCTCTACTAAAAATACAAAAAACTAGCTGGCCGTGGTAGTACATGCCTGTAATCCCAGCTACTTGGGAGGCTGAGGCAGGAGAATCACTTGAACCTAGGAGGTGGAGGTTGCAGTGAGCCGAGATCACACCATTGCACTCCAGCCTGGGCAACAAGAGCAAAACTCCATCTCAAAAAGGAAAGAAAAAGAAATAGTTTGCATTACCTCTATAACAAATGAAAAGCTTTCATTCCCTGAGAGGGGCTGTGCGAGACCTCTCTGGGGCACTGGCCGCATTCTGTGCCTAATGGTTTTGGTTGCACAGATGCACACTTTGTCAGAACCCAAAATGTGGTGCATGTAAGATGTGTGCATCTTATTACATGCAAGTTTCACCTCAAAAGAAAAAAAACATAAACAAACGTTGAATTCCCGTCAGTAATATTTTCAATTGACTGTGAGATGCATAAAAAAAAAAAAAAACAAGTTGAATGGATGGATAGGCAGAGGGACAGATAGCCACATGATAAAGTGAGTATGGTAAGTAGCACATTCGTCACAGAAATTCGGTGGTATTCACTGTAAATTCGGTCAATTTTCGCATGTTTGAAATTGTTCATAATAAAATGTGGAAAAAGGCAGGATCTAAATTTGTAGGTTCTCTTGCATTCAAGAATATAAAATTTGTAAGCATATACATAAAACTACTAGGGAATATGTAAAAATAAAATTAATTATGCTACAGTTCTGTGACTATGTCTTTCAAAACTTGTATTTAATATCACCACTTTGCTTTATAATGACCCATGGCTAACGGGGAAACACGGTGTAAACAGACTGAAATAGTGACTTACATTGTAACCCCCAAGGCAAAGAGCTTCTCATACTCCGTCCGGGAGGAGTAGTTGGGAATGACCTGGAGAAGAGGATGGGGGCAGACAGAGGGGCTGAGGGCTTGGAGGGCGAGCACAGAGCCCTGGGGATGATGCACAGCGTTGGGGCACTGGGCTTTCTTTCCAGCGTCTGCACCCTCTCTTTGGAGCCCTGGGCAGGTGCTGTGCCACCTGCTGGGGACCCACCATCCCATTGGTGATGACGAGCCGTGGGGCACTGCGGCTGCTGGGAAAGAGGCCAAGTGGGTGCCCACTGTACATGACCAAAGTCTGCTCCTCTGTCATCTTCGACAAGTAGAACATGGTCAGCCAGAACTGGGGGAAGAGCAGAGCGTGGGGATTCTGTCAACAGAAGCAGCACCCCACACCCAGCCCCACACCACCGTCCACGCCTGGACAGCTCCCACAGGCCCCCAGGTCTCCATTCCACTCCAGTGGCCCTGGTGCCTCCCTCAACACCACCTCGCCCATTCCTATAACCTGAAATTTCCCCACACAATCTCCAATGCTGGAGCCTCAGGCACCAGGGAGGCAGAGGCCTGCATCCTGAGCTGTGGGTTTGTAAGCTCCTAGGCCAGAGGACCAGACTAGAGGAAAGGCCAGGGGTGGGGACGAGGCCACACGGTGTGCAGTACCTGAGCCCAGTTGCTGAACACCTGCCCATTTCCTCCATAGGTCACCAGCTCCTGGGGAAACTGAGGAAGACACGGGGTCATCTGAGATGAGGGCCTGGGAAGGGCCTATGGAGTTGCAGACAGGGAGAGAAAGGGCCCCCATCCCCTGGGGGCCCAATGGGACAAGGAGAGAAGCCAGAAGGGTGAGGCCCAGGGACGGACACATCTGCAAGAACACCGGCCCCAGCTGCAACTGGAGCAAGGGTTCAGCTTGGGGTCAGGGGCAGATCTGGGTCTGGGGTCACTCTGGGAACTCAGCCTGGGGTCAAAGGCAGGGTTGATCTGTGACCAGGGTCTGGGGCCAGGGCCAGGGTTTAGGGCGTTTCCACCTACTAGGCGAAGTGGTCACATTCTGGCAACATATCACCCCCAAGGAATGCAGGGACACACCCCAGAGGCATTCCATTCTCAAATATGGGCAGCTGCTCTATAGACTGGCTCAGGGTGCCCAAGACAGGCACATGGGGCCAGATCCATGCTACCCAATATGGTGGCCACCAGTCATGAGTGGCTTTTCAGCTCTGCTCCTTGCATAGATACACCCCTGATTTCAAAGGCTCAGGATGAAAAACAATGTAAAATATCTCATTAATAATGTTTATATAGATTACATGTTAAAATAATAATATTTTGGATCTGGGCATGGTGGCGGGTGCCTGTAGTCCCAGCTACCCGGGAGGCTGAGGTGGGAGGATCACTTGAGCCCCGGAGGTTGAGGTTGCAGTGAGCCAAGATCAAGCCACTATACTCCAGCCTGGGCCACAGAGTGAGACCCTGTCTCTCTAAAAAAAAAAAAAAAAGTAAAAAAATAATATTTTTGATATATCAGGATGAATAAAATATAGTGTAAATTTGTTTATTTTTACTTTTTCATATGGCTGCTAGAATATTTAAAATTGGACGTGTGTCCACTGCAGCCACAGTGACTTCCTGGTTTTGAGGCTGTACTATAGACACGGATGCAAACACTGGGGGAAGCCGAGGGAAGGGCCAGGGACCTCTCTTACTAGCTTTGCAACTTTCTGTGAATCTATAATTATCTCAAAATTAAGAGCTTAAAAGCATGACACGTGTGTCTCGTGTTCTGTTTCTGCTGGACAGTGCTGGGCCTCGGTTTCCCTGGCTATTACCTGGGCCACGGCAGGATCCAGGTTGTTCATAATCATGTGCATGATGGCGGCAGCCACTTTCGTCTGGCAGGGGTACTGCTCAATCGGGTAGGCCCTGCAAGGGAAAGCCCAACCACCAGGCTGCCCTTCCCGCCAAAGCACAGCATCTAGCCTGGCCCCGCCCAGCCCCTGGCCGCTCAGGCAAGGATAGCCGGACACGGGGCCTGCAGAACTAGCTAGGAACGTACAGTGGGGGCTCCAGAGCCACTAGGGCTGAGGGAGGTGGCGTTCAGGCCCCAACCCACCCTGCTCTCCCTCCCCACTTGGCACACTCCACCTGGGAGACAGCTGCTGGCAAAGCAGAACTGATGGCTGCTCTCCAGAAGCCTCTCCGTCTGGGTAAGCAGAGTTTATTCATTTGTTCTTTCATTCATTCAACAAACACTTTTGGGCACCAATTCTCCAGCAGGTGCCAGGCCCGGAGGTACTGGCTGGAGTGAGGAACGTGGCTCCTACTTTAAAGGGAACAACCCTGGGATGACTCAAGGCAAGCCTGGGCCGCTGGCACCTTCAAGAACAATGAACTGCAGAAACGCAGACTCGAAGCTCCACCCCAGAACTGCTGGGTCTGAAACTGGGGTGAAGCCTGGCAGCCCATGTTCCCACAAGGCCTCCAGGGGTGCTGTGCACACTGTGGTTTGAGACCCTTATCGAGATCGTGAGGTATTTGAAGTCACTGCCAGAGCTCCCCAAAGCTCTCCCTGCCCTCTGGCAGAAAAACAAGCCATGGTTTTTAAAAGGGGTTTTGTATACAATTTGTCTCCAGAATTGCACAGGACTGGCTGCTCAGGACAGATGGGCCGGGCCTGAGAGACCTGAGAAGCTGCCCCTATCTTCTGGCAGGCTCAGGGCGGCAGCCAGCGCTGGGCTCCGGCTCCCGAGGCGACGACACAGAATCTTCCCTCCCCTGCCTCCTGGTCTGGACAGACTGGGTTTCCCCCTCACTGCCGACTCCCTCCTTGTTCCTGGCCCCCAGCACAGTCCCTTGCGGGAGCTGCCTGCCCCTCGGGTCCCTTTGAAGCTGTACCCACAAGGCTGACCTCATTTCAATGTCGGGGCAAAACCGGTACATGTAGATGTGTCCGTACAGTTGCAGCTCCTGGGCAAACTCTGGGGCCAGCAGCTCCTGGACATCCGGGGGGAAGTAGCGCAGGGCGTTCCTCAGCGCCAGCTGGGGTAGGAGAGCGGAGAGGCAGTCGGGGCTGGGACTCCAGGCCCGGTGTTCTGAGGCCCCGCGATGGGCCATCCTCCTCCCAAATGGATTTGTCTCTGCTCCACTCAGAAGCCTGTTGCCCACCCAGAGACTGTTCTCACCCCAGGCCCATCTACAGTGTCACCTCCTGCAGAAAGCCTTCCCTGATCGCCCCCTCCTGCCCCTTTCATGAAGGCAGACTGATCCCTCTCTCTTCTTGCTTACGGTGAACCATCTCCTGTTCTGGGGATGGCGCTGCTTACCCCCAGGCAGGCACCAGAGAGGGGCCTGCCTGAGGCTTGTGGCTATGGTGTAGAATGCAGAAGCTCCAGGGTGGAAAGTAGACCCCACATGGCCTTAAGTACCCTGTGCAAGTGCAAGCACATATAAGAAAAAGCTGTCAAAAGCAACATATATTTTACACACACACATGAACTCTTTTGATCGTGAGCCATAGGAAGCAATTCCTATGGCTACCCAGATACATACACCCATACTCCATGCAACAAGACAACCTTCCCACGTGGGTTCTAATACATCCATCCTCTTCTAACTCCTTTCATTTCACTTTCAAGTCAATACTGCTGCACCTCCTAAACTGATTTCACAGCCTGCTGGTTAGGTGGTAGCTGCAGCCTGACACCACTGTCCTCACTATTCTAAAGGCAGTGCCAGCCGCCGCCTCGGGGCTTGACGGGACATTTTACTCACGTGCTAGACAAGGAGGACTTCTTTCATAATCAGTTGTGTCAAATGCATTAGAAACATTGTTCAGATAATTACATAGCTCAAAAAGTACAACAAAGGTTCTGTGAAAATTAGTGAATTTAAAATCATGTCAGTTGATGGAAATGACTCGGCCATTCTTAAAGGTGAAATGTGTAAGAAGCTCAATCTGTTCTGAAATGAAGCACAAACTTGTGCCCTAAGCAAAGGAGATTCTGGCAATTTTTCCAAATCCGAAATACAGCCCCAAAGCTCTGTCTGCCACATTTTCCCCTTGTATAAAATTTCCATTTGCTAACCATTGAATTTTTCTTTATTGCTGAAATTCAGTAATTTAGCCTAGATATGTCTTCATGCTGATTATTCTATATCAAGGGTTTTTTTTCTTTCCAGGATAAACTGTCTGTTTATCTGCAATTTCATGTTTTTATTTAGTTCATGAAAGTTGTCTTCTATTTTTGTTTAATACTTCATCCTCTGTATCTAGAGTTACCTAACAGGCATGCAATAAATATTCTTTTAAGTGGGGAAGAAAGGCTCACTCTCACTGGCCTGGACTTAATCCTCCATGCCTTGGACTGGAGGCAGCTCTCCACATTAAAACAAGACGATGGGGCTCACACAGGTCGTGTGACCTGCCAAGGCCCTGCAACAGGACTGTGGGTGGCCTGGAGGGAGGCCCAGTGCCTCCACCCACCCTGGCAACCTCAGCAGAGGAGGAGTTTCAGGCTGAGCAGTGCCCACTGTTCCCAGGAAGGGCTGTGTGGTGTGATGGGGCCCACAGCTTCCTGATGACCACGGAACAATGGGCACTGCGGCACTGCGGCACTTCATCCAGCTCCCTCCAGAAGGAGCACGGCGCTCCCAGGATTTTTATATGTTTATGCTACGAAAAATATAAGGCTAGGCGTGGTGGCTAATGCCTGTAATCCCAGCACTTTGGGAGACCAAGGTAGGAGGATCACTTGAGGCCAGGAGTTCCAGACCAGCCTGGGTAACATAGGGAGACCCCCATCTTTACGAAAAATAAAAAATTGCCAGGCATGGTGCATATGCCTGTGGTCCCAGCTACTCGGGAGGCTGAGGTAGGAAGATTGCTTGAGCCCAGGTGTTTGAGGTTACAGTGACCTATGATCACGTTGCTGCACTCCAGCTTGGACAAAACTAGACCCTGTCTCTAAAATGTATACATATGTATATATATAATGAACTTTTCAAACATGTAAACATAAACCAGGATAGTCTTGTATGTAATAGTTGTGCCAAAAAATGAGGCTTACAAGACACACTAAGAAAGCAAAGAGCAAGCATGATTCAACATCACTACACTTGCACTATTTCTTGATCGCAGTCCAGTAAAACCCACTTCAGATTTCTGATCTCTGGAACTGCAGGAGAATAAATATGTGTTGTTTTAAGCCACTACACTTGTGGCAATTTATTACAGCAGACATGGGAAGCTAATACAGGCAGTAACAGAACTCTGCCTCGGGCATCAGGGCACCTGTGCCAGGCGCACGCCTGTCCTGCATGGTGGCTGAGCACCGAAATGAAGGGATGCCAGCCTGCAACGTTGTTCAGCCCACAGAGCAGGGTGTGTGTGTGTGTGTGTGTGTGTGTGTGTGTGTTCAGCCTAGGACTTACTTTCATTCTAACCTGGCAGTCAGCTTGTGGGGCAGTAGCTCACTTTTAAACCTCACCCATCTGAAAGTTTCTGACTGTCACTATTTCTGCCAGAAACCATGGCCACTATCCAAATGGCTTGGCTTCATTTGAGTCACTCCTGTTCCTGCACCCTGCTAGTGCAGCCTTCAGCAGGGTCCCCACCAGCTCTAGGCCGAGGATACGTTGACAGCCAGGAGCTGCAGCCAGGCTTCCTTCTCCACATCTGTGCACACTGCCTCCTGGGTGCGGACAGCGCTCTGGGTTGCATGGGCTGCAGTGGCTCTGCGAGGCTGCTGTGGCACAGGCCTGCCACATGGCACATGCACATTGCCGCTCTCTGACTGCCCTTTCCCCATCTGTAAAGTGGGCATAATAACAGTACCCACCTCGGAGGACTGCCTTGGAGACTGAATGAATTGAGGTACTTAGAACAGCCCCTGGCACACCTAAGTGTGTGTGAGTGCCCAGCTGTCAAAACTGTCATCTCCCACACTCGTGGGCCTCCATGCTGCCCATTCTTTCTTCCAGCTGGGCCTCTGCCCACCCCACCCCTCTGGGACCTCCATAGAAGCCTCTATACTCTGTGGGGGGCATAGTTAAGCAGTAGGTATGCCCCTATTCAGAAACTTCCATGGGCTCCCTATTACCCATTTCATAAGGCCATGCTGTTCCTGGCATTTAGAGTCCTCCATCAGCCGGCTGGGTCTGGCTCTCCAAGCTCAATACCAAGCCCCTGCCTGCACAGAGCCTCCTTCACCCTGACACACCTCAGACAGCTCCGTCTCCACATCTGTGCACACTGCCTCCCCTTGTCTCCAAATGGCCTTTCTTCTTTCCCAGGCTAGGAACTTTGCCTAAGCTGCTATAGCCACCTCTTCCAAGAAGTCCTGTCAAGTTTCTCCTGCTGGCTGAAATCTTATGGGATGTTAGTTAGGGCTCCTAGTACAACTCTTATTCATTCTGCAAACATCTGCTGCTGTCACTGGAGACCTGGAAATGAACCCTGTGGAGCTCTGCCCCTCAAGAAGTTCAGGAGGGGAGTACATTGGTAGTGATGGGGACACAGACGCTGGCCATCTTCGGATCTGCTGTTGGATGCCTGGCACAGGCGCTGTGGGTGGGGTCGATTTGGGGAAAAGGTCACCAGGAGAAACTGCACCTGGGGGTAGGTACTGAGGACATTTTTAACAGGGGAACTGCTCCAGTCGTGTGACTGAAGTTTCCCTGTGCATGGTGAGAGCTGTGTCGGGCGCATGCTGAGAGTGTCCTGATTAACTTGGCAAAGAAAGGCCCCACTCCAGTCACAGAGCTCCGTTAAAGACGAGCAAAGAATGACACGCACGTTAGTTCATCCAAATAATGAAACACTATGCAGCCATTCAAAGACAGGGCCCTCTAAATGCACCACGAAGGAACAATCTGAAAAAACCTAACGTGTATAGATGCTTCTGCTTGTATTTTTAAGAGGGTTCACAGACGTCTTCTGCACTGCATAGATGCATAGAATGTGTTTCTGAAATTCCTGAGTAGTTTTCAGTAAAGAAAAAGTAGGAGGAAAGTCTATATTTCCTCCTACTTTATTTCATTTGGTCTTCTCCACAACCCCCTGGTGTCATTGTTTTCATCTTCAGCTTACAAATGCCAAAAAATAAGGCCCCGGTGACTTCAGAAGGTGAACTGGGGAATTTACACTTTTATACATTCGATTTCTTATCACATAAAATTGTCTTCAAATACATATGTTAAAGATCAACGAAACACATTTAATAGAAAATAGAAGTCAAGCAGCAGGACTCAGGGAGCCGCCCGTAGCCCTCAGAACTGCACCCGCTCCTACTCCAAGGGTGTCCTGACATTCAAGCAAAGGACATAACCCAGCAAAGCCCAGGTGGCCACTCCTCCACCTGGAGCCACCTTCTCCCAACACAAGACACCCCGGGAGCTGATCACAGCCACAGGGAGCTGATCACAGCCACAGGGCGCCGCAGGGGATGTGCAGGCCGCAGGGCCCTCCCTGAGCTCCGGGGTGAAGTTTGAGGCATTGGCGCCCAGCAGGGAGGTGATCAAAGGGAGGAAACATTAACAACACCTGGACAACTGGGAGATGGGCCAAGGGGAGCAAAGGGGCAGGACCACCTGCTTGCAATCTGCCCCTGAGTACCCACCACCTACCCGCCCCCGTCCAGGACCCACCACTTACCAGCCTCCCCAGCACCCAACACCTACCCTCCCCTGCCCCCAGTGCCCACCACCTACCCTCTCCCTGTCTCCCAGCACCTACCACCTACCCCTTCCACTCCCCAGTACCCACCACCTACCCTCCTCCCATCTGCCCAGCACCCACCACCTACCCCCTTCCACTCCCCAGCACCCACCACCTACCCTCCTCCCATCTGCCCAGCACCCACCACCTACCATCCCCCAACCCCCAGCACCCACCACCTACCCTCCCCCTAACCCCCAGCACCCACCACTTACCCTCCCCCAACCCCCAGCACCCACCACCTACCCTCCCCCTCATCTGCCCAGCACCCACCACCTACCCTCTCCCCAACCCCCAGCACCCACCACTTACCCTCCCCCAACCCCCAGCACCCACCACCTACCCTCCCCCTCATCTGCCCAGCACCCACCACCTACCCTCTCCCCAACCCCCAGTGCCCACCACCTACCCTCCCCCCACCCCCAGCACCCAACACTTACCCTCCCCCACCCCCAACACCCACCACCTACCCTCCCTTGTCCCCCAGCACCTGACACCTACCCTCTCCGCCCCCCAATGTCCACCACCTACCCTCACTGTCTCCAAGTGCCTGTCATCTACCCTCCTCCTGTCCCCCAGCGCCTACCACCTACCCACCCCCTCCTCACCCCAGCACCCACCACCTATCCTCCCAACTCCCAGCACCCACCACCTACTGTCCCCTGCCCCCCAGCGCCCACCACCTACCCACCCCCTCCTCACCCCAGCACCCACCACCTATCCTCCCAACTCCCAGCACCCACCACCTACTGTCCCCTGCCCCCCAGCGCCCACCACCTACCCACCCCCTCATCACCCCAGCACCCACCACCTAATGTCCCCCACCCCCCAGTGCCCACCACCTACCCATCCCCTTGTCACCCCAGCACCCACCACCTACCTTCCCCCTCGTCCCCCAGCACCCACCAACTAGCCTCCTCCCACCCCCAGCGCCCACCACCTACCCTCACCCTCATCACCCCAGCACCCACCACCTACCCTCCCCCTCATCACCCAGCACCCACCACCTACCATCCCCCCACCCCAGAACTCACCACCTACCCTCCCACCCCCCAGTGCCCACCACCTACCCTCCCCCCTCCCCCCAGTGCCCACTACCTACTCTACCTTGCTGGCCCCTCCCCCATTTCCCTTTCCCTCCAGCACCCGCTCCACCTGCCCCCAGTGCCCCACTCCCACAAGGACCCCCAGCATCCTCCTAGCCCCCCAACTCCCCTCCACCCCCACACCCACCAACCTGCTTCCCCTTTCTCCCTTCCCCAGCGCCAGCTCTGCCCTGAGTGACCCCTACTGTCCCCACTGTGTCCTGTTAGGCCTCTGTGGGTGGCTCCAGAAAAGTCCAGTGGGCTCCGGTGCAAAGGGCAGCCATCTTTACCTGGGGAGGTAGGATTCCTCTTTTAATCTTTATGCTTGTTTGCAGTTTCCACTTCTCTACTGTTTCTGAAAATCTTGAGTAGTTTCCAGTAAAAAGTAGGAGGAAAGTCTATATAACCGTGTCACCTACTTTATTTCATTACTCTTCTCCACAACCCCCTGGTGTCACCATTTTCATCTCAAGCTGACAAATGACAAAAGGGAGGTTCCCAGACAGGGCACCACTGGCAAGCGTGCACCATCCCTGGACTGCTTTGCTGTTAGATGAGGGGATACTGGCCTCAGCCCATCTTTCCCTGGCAACTGCCTGCCAGCTACAGGGTTCAGCCATGCAGCCGCACGTTCTCCAGAGATTTGCGGGAGGGACATTTGCAAATGAAAATAAGAGCTGACCTGTGTGCAAACGTTCTGAGTGTTGGGGTGGACGCGGCGCTTGGTGTGGGACACTTCACACCCACCCAAGGCCTCCTCCCACTGGAGGTGGCCAAAGTGCCACCAGTGACCGGCTGCTGACCTTGAGCCTCAGGGTCCTCATCTGTAAACAGGCACGGCGATCCTGCACCCAAGGGCGGCTGCATCCAAGAGACAGAGTCCACTGTGCATTGCACCCGCACAGGCTGGAGCCCCTGGAGTCCAGGGTGGGCGGCTGAGCAGCTCCCACTAAGAGGGCAGGAAGCCTGGGTGCTCACTATGGACCACCTGGAGGATGCCTAGAGGCCAAGGCCTCGGGAGCACGGGCCCACTGCTTACCTGTTTCTCCACAGGGCTGAGGCTGGGGGTCCTGACAGGGGCATGGGGCACCCCAGCCTGGCGTCCCCGGTTCTCTGGGAGGGGCCGCAGGGGCAGGCCAGAGCACAGCGCCTGGAGGCTAGACATGTGTGACTGAGATGGAGGCAGAGGCCAGCACTGTGGGGAGGCCAGGAAGAGACTGGGCAGATAGGGCAGGGACCTCTAGCCCCAGGGCCACCTCCTCCAGCCTCTCATTGGGCGCCTGGCCTGTGCAGGGAGCCATGTGCAGGTCGGAGGGTCACTGGCCTCAGGTAGGGCACTTGCAGCGCTGACCTGGGGAGGACATTGCTCTGCGGGAGGGCAGGCTTCACAGTGGGGAGGGGGGCTGGGCTCACTTCCCCTTCCAGGAGGGCTGTGCTGTCCGGGACAGCTTTGGGGGTGGGTGGGGCTCTAATGCTGGGGTGTGCTGTGGCAGCCCTCTGGTGCACCACACCAAACATTCGATGTGGGGATCTGCATCTTGATGATGAGGAGATGGGAAGCCATGTGACACTGAACCGGACACAGAGTGTAGAGCCCCTCCTCCTGCTACCTCCTGCTGGGGGGTGGGGTGACAGGTGGAGCGGGAGCACCCAGCAGCAGGTGTGCCCTCCTTGGCTCCCCACTGGAGGGCTGGGTGACAGGTGCAGTGGGGGCCCTCAGTGGCAAGTGTGCTCTCTTCAGCTCCCGCTGGGGGGCACACCACTCTACCCCCTCCCAAAGCTCTTTTTGAAGGACCTGCCTGAGGGATGACCCTCATTCCCAAATCTGTTAACAACTCTGCCAGAAAGCACTCTTCATGAGCCCTATGCTATGGATGGAGAAACCAAGGCCCGGGTCTCCCTCACACAGCCAAGAAGTGGCCGAAGCTGAATTCCAGCAGTCCGGGGGAAGCAACACACCTGGGTGTACCCAGTGCGAGCCTGACCAGCCCTGTGGCCTTTGGCCATGTCCTGTCTACACAAGTGGGTGGCGATGGACAGCTCAGCTGCAAGGCGGTGGAGTGCCGTTAGGCAAGCCCCAGTGCAGGGCCCGCACGTGGAAGCCCAGCTGCCTTCTGAGTGCTTGCTCCTCTGAGAGCATCCTGTGGGTCAGCCCTGAGGGGTTCGTTGCCCCCATTTTAAGGATGAAGAAACAGGTGGAGAGAGGGATGGGACTTGCCCAGGGTTACACAGCCAGTCATGGGGGGAGCTGAGATTGGAGCCCTGAGGACCCAGAGGTCTGGCTCTAGCACCCTCCCATCCACGCTGGCCCTTTTGCAGCACAGGGAGGGCGCCCTTAATGGGGGTGATGTGAGACTGTGATAGAATAAGAAACAGGCTTTGATCTCTTCCCTGTTCCTGCCACAAAGCTCCTGAGGCCCTGGTAGATGGAAACTCTAGGAGAATCTTTTGTTCTAACGTTTGATCTTTGACCCTGGTTCCTGACACAGAGCTCCTAAAGCTGTTGGAATTTCCTGGGTGACAGGAGCAGAGCTCTTTTGTTCTACCGAGGGGACTCTTGGCAGATCCCTGATATCCTCAGGATTGGGGCTGGTTGACAAGGGAACCAACCTGTGATTAGAGGGTTGGAACCTTCAGCAGCCTCCTGACTTTGGGGAGGAGAGAGAAGCTGAAGGCTGAGTTGATCACCAAAGGCCAATGATTTAGTCAGTTGTGTAGGTCATGAAGCCTCCCTAAAAACCCAAAAGGACAGGGTTCAGAAGAGCTTCCCAGCAGCTGAGCACAGGCAGATTCCTGGAGAGGGTCATGCCCAGAGAAGGCACAGAAGCTCTGTGCATCTTCCCCACACCTCATCCTGGGCATCTTGTCCATCTGGCTGTTCATCTATATTCTTCGTAATGTCCTTTATAAGAAACCAGTACACATCAATAATAAAGGGTTTCTCTGAGTTTTGTGAGCCACAGTAGCAAATTAAATGAACCCTGGAATCCCCAGTTTATAGCCAGACTGTGGTCAGAACCACAGTCCACAGACCACAACCTGTGCTTGCAGCATCTGAAGTTGGGGGCGATCTTGTGGGACTGAGCCCTCAACCTGTGGGATCTCATGCCATCCCCAGCAGGTGGTGTCAGAGTTGAGCTGACTGGGACACCTAGCTGGAGGAGACACCCAGCTGAAAAGCTGGCTGCTGGAAAAAGCCCACATGTACTTTGGTGACTGGGGCGTGTTGTGTTGTGTTGTGTGAATGAAGAAGGACAAGGTTTGTTCTCATACTGGGCCTGTGGCATCTCTGCTCCTCACCAGCCAGGGCCACCTGGGACAGAGCATGCAGAAAGGTGCTCAGGCTTAAGCATCCCACACTCAATCCTTCTTATGACAGGTGCTGTTGCAGGCCCTGGGAACAGAGTGCACAAGACAGAAGTTGTGCAGCCTGGACGCCAGCGGCCAGCACCTTCGGCTGTCTTCTCAAGGGTGTCTTCTGGTGACCCTGAGTGTCTTCTTCCCACTCAGAGGGCAGCTGGAAGGGATGGAGAATTAGCAGCCCCTCCCCACCTGCCCAGGGAACAGCCCCTAAGCACCCAGGTCCCTTGCCCCTCAGGGTGGGGAGATTGTACCTCGGTCAGTTGCTTCCCCTGCCCAGCTCACTATGCACTCCCCAACAGACAGACCCTTAACAAACTGCACCAAGACCTGGTCTCAGGGCCCACTGCACAGGACGCCCCACGTCTCATGGCTCAAGAGCAGCCAGAAATCCAGCAGGTTTTCTGAAATCTCCTGAGTTTTAAACATCAGCAACCAATTTGTGAAAAGGTGAACATTGTGCAGAAGTCGTGTGGATGGCGTCCATGTCACATCCCCACTGGGCTACTGCAGTGTGGTTCTGCAAGATCTTAGCACTGGGGGAAAGTGGGTAAAGGGGACATGGGATCTTTCTTCCTTACAACTGCACACAAATCTAGTGACCCCAGAATAGTTTAATTAAAAGCAAACAAACATTGCCTAACTATTTAAAAGCACAAAGATCTTGGCTGGACGCGGTGGCTCATGCCTGTAATCCCAGCATTTTGGGAGGCTGAGGCGGGAGGATAACCTGAGGTCAGGAGTGCAAGACCAGCTTGGGCAATATGGCAAAACCCCGTCTCTACTAAAAAGACAAAATTAGCCGGGCATGGTGGTGGGCACCTGTAATCTGGCTACTCGAGAGGCTGAGGCAGGAGAATTCCTTGTACCCAGGAGGCGGAGGTTGCAGTGAGCCGAGACTGTGCCACTTCACTCCAGTCTAGGCAAAAGATCAAAAAAAAAAAAAAAAAAAAAAAGAGAGAGAGAATGAAGATCTCACAGAAGTTAAATATGGCAGACTGCTAGTTTCAAACAACCCTGGCTACATCACTCTCTAGCTGTGTCCTTGGGTAAGTTACTGAGCCTCTCATTGCCTCAGTTTCCTCATCTGTAAAATGAAAGTCTATTATATACCTCATAGGATGCATCTGAGGATCACATGAGATAACACACATGAAGGGCTTAGAATAGTGCCTTGCACAGAATACGTGCCAGACAAGATGAAGTATTATTTTTCTAACGGTTTCCTCCATGAAAAAAAAAAAAGCATCATCTCTCACAGAGACAGCTCTGGCTCCTCTCCTGGCCTCCACCTCCTCCCTGCCTCCCACAGAGCAGCAGAGGTGCCATCTGTGATTCAACTGTTCTTCAGGGACGGCTTCCCTCTGTGCTTAGAAAAACCCACCCATGGGATCTGGACTCCCTGTCTGCCTCTCTGACTTCACCCATTCACTCTCGCCCACTCCAGAACCTCCCTGCTATTCCTGGGACAGGCGGTGGTGGTTCTAAAACATGCCCGCAAATTCCTGGGCACTGCTGGTGGGTGTGGCCCCACTCCTGAGTCTGGTCCAGCCTCAGCGATCTTTGGGTAACCAACAAAAGGCAGCCCCAGGCCAGGTCAGAAAATGGCCACACAGCCAGGCTCTGTGGGAGCAGCACACCGGGCCCCAGGCTGGAGGGTGCCCCGAGGATGTCTGGAGGCCAGAGGGTGGCCCAAGGAGACCCCCAGAATGGAGGCTGCCCCCAGGAGGACCCCAGGCCAGAGGGTGCCCCGAGGGCTGGAGGGTGCCCCAGGAGGCCCCCAGAATGAAGGGTGCCCTGAGGGGATCCTTGGATCGCTGCCCAGCAGAGCTTCCAGACGGACACCACCTGCCAGTGTGAGCCAGTGGGACACTGGGCCTGGGTGAGCCTCCCAGTGATGCAGTGCCAGCTGCCTTCTGACTGTGGCAGCCTGAGACTCCCATGAGCACTCAGCCAAGCCCATGCCCCAATTCCCAATACACAAAATTGTGAGCAAAATTTAAATGGTTGTCTTAAGCGGCCAAATTTTAGGGCAGTTTGTTACCTAGCAACAGCAACTGGAACATCACCTCAGGGCCTTTGCAATGGTACCTGCTGGCTTCTGCTCCCTGGAGTCACATCTCTGCTCCAATGCCACCTCCCCCAGGCCTGCCCCGGCACCCTCCTTGCACCGGACACACTTTTCATCCTGGTACCCGCTGTGTTTTCTTCACAGCAGCATTCACCGCTCTATCTCTCTATCCTGATTTTCCGTGCTTCCAATCTGTAATGGAAATGCTGTGAGGGCAGACACTGCATGGGTCTCACCCTCTCCACCCAGGCCTCAGCACGGAGTGGGTGTTCTGTATCTGTCGAATGAATGAATGAATGCGAGTCCCTGGGAGAGGGCGTCTTCGCAGGGAAGCTCCCTAGGCCCCGGGCGTCTAGCCAGGCATCTGCACCCTCCCACCCCAAGACCCAAGACCATCTCTTCCTTTCTCCAGGGACCCCATTTCCAGGGACATCTCCGGATGAAGGGCTGAGATGTTATTCCCAACTTTGGCCACCAGGTGGCAGCATATAAGGGCAAAGCGCGCTGAGGATTCCAGGCTGGCAGTGAGGCCAGGGAATGCCGGTCTGGGGAAATTTGGAAGGCACCTTTGGATGCGAGTTAGGTCCGGCAGGGAATGCAGATGACCTGGAATCCCTGGGTCCTGGGCCAGTCTGGGGGTGGGCTAGAGGTTCCCCAAGGCCAGAAAAGTCATGATAAGAAGCTTCTAGCTTACTGTGAGTCTGGACTCCCACCCCTGTCCTTTGAGAACATCATCACCATTTAAAGCTGTATCTCAAAACCAGCAGAACTATTATTTGCTTAATATTCTTCCTTAAATAGATCTTCCACAACTTAAATAAATATAGTAGGGAGAAATTTTTATTTCACCACTTTAACAGAAACCAGCCACTTGCCAGAAACAGGCAGTAACCATAAACAAATTAATTACTAATATCAAATACTTACCTGGCACTCACTGAGTGCCAGACACTGTTGCAAACATTTCCTGTATCTCATTTAATCTTCACAGCACTGAGGTTTAGGATTATCCCCCCGTACAGGAAAATGGGAAACAGAGAGGTGCAGTTAATTTCCTAATCTCCCACAGCAGTAAGCGGCACCAGGTGGGTTTGGAGTCACCACATTTTTCAAGAACAGTTTAACAACTGGAGCTTCGAGTGTGGAATAATAGACACTGGAGACTTGGAAGGGTAGGAGAGTGAGCGAGGTGGGAGGGATGAGGAATTACTTAATGGGTACAATGGACATTATTTAGGTGATGGTTACACGGAAAGCCCAGACCTCACCACTGCATATCTCCATGTAACAAACCTGCACTTGTGTCCCTTACATTTATACAAAAAACTCCAAAAAAAACCTACAGTGTAATGTAGTACCCTATCCCATGCACTCACACTGCTAAATGTTGTTTCCAACGCACTCATCCGCGCACCCAGTGCCAGCTGCACCCTCCCGTTCCCTGCTAGCCTGACTTCTGGGCAGCAAGACCCTGCGGTTAGACGTGGGCTCCTGCCCACAGGGCTAGCTGGATGTGTGTGTCTTTCAAAGGCTGGACTTTACTCTCACCTCGCCCCCTCCACCCCCCAACACACACACACACACACACACACACACACACACACACAGTCCCTGGCAAGTCCTCAGAGCTCACGTGGTGCCCAGAGAAGTTGTGGGTGACACGATGAGGCACAAGCTCCATTCCCCGGGGGATGTAAGCTGAGACCCTACCTCTCTGTGCAAAGGCTAGTGCCACCTGCATGAGCTAGATTCAGGCAGGACCTGGAGACCCTGGAGGAAAGCAAGGCTGCAGGGTAGCCTTGGGTCGGGGAGGGAGGGACACTCTTAGGCCTCTTACTGAGGGCGGGGGTCCCGGAGAGCCATGGACAGGGCAACGCTCTACTAGGCTCCTTGGTTCATCCCAGATCAGCCCTTGGGCCCCTGGCATCTAAGGCAGCAAAAAGGCAAGGGGACACCGCCCGGGGTGGGGCACGCCACCGCGACAATGCCTCTTGGCCTTGGGTGGATAATGGCACCCCTGGGCAAACCCTAGGGGCGGGGCCCAGAGGCGAGGGGCTTCCCCAATCAGTCTCCGCCCTAGCGCCCTGGACTTCGGCCCCATTCCATTGGGTGAGGGTGGGGGCACGAAAAGAGGAGCGGGCTTGCGGCCCCACCGTGTCCCGCCTCCTCAGTCCCCAGCGACTCGCAGGGGCTGGTGGGGCTGGGGTCCAGCTGCCGTGCTCCCCTGCCCTGCGCCGCGCCGCGCGTCTTGGTAGGCGCTGCGCTGCCGGGGCCGGGTCCTGGGCCAGTGCAACTCCGCCCCCAGCCGTATCCAGCGGACTGTCCTCCGCCGCGCGCCCGGCACAGCATGGGGAGGCGCTGCTGCCGGCGGCGCGTGCTGGCGGCCGCCTGTCTGGGCGCCGCGCTCCTGCTCCTATGCGCCGCGCCCCGCTCCCTGCGCCCGGGTGAGTGCCCGCCGGCCGAGCCGCGCACCCCCAACCAAACCTGGCTCCTCGCGCTTTCCACCGCGGCCTGACCCCTCGACAGCGCGGGGGACACCTGTTGTCTCCTTCCTGGCTGGGGCTAGGGGTGGCGGGCAGGGGCGCTGGTGAGGCACAGAAAGGCTCTAGACGCCCCCGCGAGCAAAGGCTCTTGCTCCTCCTCCGGAGTTACCTCCCCACTCCCAGAGCGGTGACTGTTTTGAGTCCCACAGCCGGTGCCTGGAGACCGGGGTCAGTTGTGGGGGGTAGAGGACAATTGGCCAATCCGGGAAGGCCATCTCCCTTACCTTCACCCCCTTCCCCTGCGCACCCCACGGCCCCTGGACATGAGCGCTGCTGGGCGCATGCGCATAGGAGGGGAAGCTTGGGCCACTCGGTCCGGTCCCTTGGTTGTCCTACTGTGCAGTGGGTGCCACTCCCTGCTCCACCCTGAAATCCACACTGGGTAGGGCTTGGGACTCCTGTGCACCCACTCGTGGTCTGGCTGGGGAAACTGAGGCAGTTAGTCATGACTCCGCAGAGCTGAGTGCCCTGGGCTCCACCGGTGCTGAGTCTTTGCTCTGAGTCTCTCCTCAGCTCATGTGAAGCCTCCCATCAACCCATTTCACACAATCTGAAGCGGGCCAGAGAGTGGGGAGACAGGTGTGGTGGCAACGTGCTGGCTATACAATCTACTTGGGACTGGAGGGGCCCAGCCAGCGCCCGGGTCTCCTGACCTCAGGGCTGTTTGCCTTTCCTTGTATGTGGTATGCGTGCTGGGTGGGACGACTCAGTCCGCCTCCCCACCCCCAGTGTGGGCTCTGAGAATCCTGGGCCCCACCCTTGGAACCTGGCAGACACAGTCCCAGGGAGTAAGTAACTAGGTCCAGGGTGGGCGGGGATGTTGGGCAGTGGGGGTGGGAGTGGCCCAAGACTTGAGGATATCAGGGCCTGGGGAGGCCTCTGCCCACTCCCCCTGACCCTCACACTGCCCCTTGCCCCTTGTGTGTCCAGACACAGCAGGTCAGACCTGGATGCCTCCCCAAGCCCATGGGATAGGGCTGGGGTGTCTCTTTCCAGCACCCCCACAACCCCTTCTGTGAGCTGTCTGGTGGTGTTGAGCAGACAATCTCCTGGCAGTCTGGGGTGTGGACTCAGTGTCTGTGGCTGCCACAGCCTCTGTCCACCGAGTCATTCAGTAGACAGATGTTTACCCAGTACTAAGACAGGGCAGAACTTGGTGGCTACTGGCCCCTCAGGGCTCAGCGTGGGATGTTAGAGGACACCTGAGTGCCTGGGTCCCGGGGAGTGTCTGCAAAGGAGCATACATCTTTGAGTGACTGCATGGAGTGTCTGCGTCCCCATGTCTCCGTGGGACACCTCTCTCCTGTCACCTACTCTACCCAGGTTTGAGGGATGAGAAACAAACCAAGGTACTAGTCACCTTCTGGGCTTTGTTCCTTCTGACCTCCCTCCCTCTCCTGCAGAGCCTGGGAAGAGACAGCAGGTGTTAGGAGGACGGCTCCGAACCTCCCTTCCCAGCCTCTGCGCAGGCTGGGCTCTCCACCTGGCCTGTCCTGCTCTTGGCCATGACCTCACCCAGCATCTCAGCATCTCTCTCTGTTTCTGTCAAGCGCTCTTGTACCTCTCCCATGGCCTGTCTCCAGCCATCACAGCTTTGTGAGTGACCTTGGGCGAGCAAGAGTTAATCAGACCAACCTATCCAGCCTCTCACACTGGCTTTTCTCTCTCCCAAGCCCTGAGCTGAAGCTTTGGCTGAGACTATGCTTGTGGGCCTGCAGGTGGCACACAGGGAGGGCACTCAGCTGGGAAAGGCCTTTTCCTGCCAGGCTAGTCCTGCTGGAGGGGCATCCCCTGCCCTTGGCCTCTGGAAATGGCCTCACGAGGGCCTGCAGTGTCTCTGCAGCCATGCCTGAGTTGGAAGGGATGTGGTCTGTGCCCTGTGAGGGCTTCTGGCCTGGGGATGAGGGCTCCAGAACTCAGGAGGGATTTCAGCCCCTTCTCCCAGGAGGGCAGGCCCAGCACTGTCCCCTCCTTCTCCAGAGCAAGAGGCCCAGCACTGTCCCCTCCTTCTCCAGAGCCAGAGGTGCTGCCGTAAGTTGGGCAAGGGGCCACTGAAGGGCTACTGGCTCAGGCCTGGGGCTCTTGCTACCCCAGGGAGCTCAGAGACATTCTAGTAGGGGGAGGTCTGCGGCAGCCCCTCCACAGCCACAGCCTCAGCCCCAGGGCTCCACCACCTGCACTGGCCTACTGCTTAGGGTCCCAGGGAGGAGGAGATTCCAGGAAGGTGGGGCAGCTGCCCAGAGCACTGCTGCCCTCATCACCCCACCCTCATCCCCAGTGCCCAGCGGCAGCTCCCAATGGCAGACCCCTGGGTCTCCTGCGGCCCCCTTGGCTCCCTCTGTGTTTTTGCCTGGGCATGGTGACCATGCTTCCCGTGGCTGGCACACCACGGACCACGGACCTGTTGGTTGTCTGCTCGTGCAGGTACTGGGAGACAGTGGGGAACAAAACTTAGAAATACCCCTGCCTCGAGGAGCTTACATTTTTAATATGAAAACCCAAGATCTCAGCTCTATGTCTTCTGCCTCTGAGACACCGGCGGGAGCAGTGTTGGCACCAGCCCCCTTCCCCTATTCCACTCCCGCGGCTGCAGGGCTGAGCATCTGTCCCAGTGTTTGGAGTCACAGGTGTTCCTCTTGGAGCCAGGTGGGCCTCTGCATCCCATCCCAGCCCCTGCTCACCCCTAGGCAGGCAAGGAAGCTAAGACTGTGGGCCACCCAATGGCACACAGTGGTAGCCTCGGCGAGGACAAACCCAACCCAATTCAGACTCCCTTCAGCTGGGAGGGAGTGGGTCTGTGCCTGTGACTGAAAAGGCCAGGTGCCTCTGCCTCGGACAGGCATAGATCTTGGGGTTCAGATCACACCTCCAGCTGTGGTTTAGCTTTTCTCTGCCATAGCCTCACTCTCAGCTGCACCAGTTCAGCAACTCCAACCCAAAGCTAGAGAGGGTTCCTTTGCCACTGATTCCAGCCAAAGTCCCAAGGAGGCATCCATTGGCCCGGTCTGGGTCTCAAGTGCCCGTCTCTGAGCCAGTCAGGTGGCAGGAAGGGCTGGGAGGCTGTGATTGGACAGGCCTAGGCCACATGCCTATCCCAGCAGGTGGTGGAGGCGTAGGGGAGCCTATCGGAATCACATGGGCTGAAGGCCTGGCAGGCATCCTCCTCTGGTGGGTGGGCAAAGGGAGGGGAAGTGGCTGCTGGAGCCAAATTGGTAGATGCTCCCCATGCTGCTGTCCATCTTCAGGTACTGCTGGAGTGTCCCGAGTTCAGAGGACCTCCAGAAAGTACCGTGAGAAGAGGCAAGCTGGCAGGTGGGTGGCTCTGCAGAACAGGAATTGGCAATCCTATTTTGCAGAAAAGAAAAGATCAAGAGAGAGGAAGTTACTTGCTCAAGTCAGGAAGTATGGGGCCAGGATTTAAATCCCAGCTGAAACCCCAAATCCTTTTTCTTTCCATTCTACAGGGCAGGGGCATTTGTGTTGGGCTTTGAAAGCTGCATAGGAGTTTAACAGGTAGGAAAAGGAGGAGAGGAAACTGCAAGCAGAAGGAATGGCACAGAGAAAAGCATGGAGGAGTGAAATGGCCTGGGGTGTGAATGGATGTGCTGTGGGTGGGGCTCTGGGTCCTTGAGAGAGAATGGTGGGATGGAAGGCAGGAAGATACTCTAAGTTGGGGCTCAGTCATGAATAGTCTTGAATGGGATGCTAGGGGCTGGGGTGCTCTTCCTATGGCTGTCAGAGGGCATCAGTCTTTAAATAAATAGTCACTGGCACTGGGCAAGGTTGCAGGGGTTACAGAAAAGCAAAAAGTCCCCTTCCATGTAGATCTGACCTTCCAGAGTGATCAACCTACACAGAACTCAAAAGATTTCAGCAATAAAGAGTGCCGTGGCTGGAGCTGAGCAGTGAACCAGGAAGGGTGGTAGTGCACTGGTGGGCCTTGGGGGGAACCAGGGATTGCTGCAAGGAGTGAGAAGCCCTGTGGGTTTAGAGATCACCAAGGTGGGGCGAGGAGAAATAGGAGATAGGTGAGGTGTCTCCTTCCAGTCTTGGTAATTGTTCCAGGGAGAGCCCTGGGGCCTACCCGGGGCTGGCCATGGGCAGGGAAGGTGGAAGTGGGGTCCGGAGGGTTCTGGAGGCACAGCCGACAGGACTGTGCTCAAGGGGGATCTGGGCAGACTGGGGTTCCATTCTAGATGGCCTGTGGAGTTCAGCAAATGGAGTTTGAACTAAATACACGTGGAGAGATCTCTAGTTCTCTCCCCTAAACAGAATTGCTTATAATAATACATGAAGGGCTTGTCCAATGTGTCCTTCCCTTGGGCCTGATCCCCAGAAGGAATGTCCCTGACTCTGAGACATGCAGGTCACCCCAGAAAGCCCCTAGGGGAAGGAATGGGGCAGGACAGAGGCCCTCGGAGGCCACGTGGGAACCTATGCCTGCTGGCAGGAGCTTGCTGGGGCCTGGCTGCCCTGCTTATCTCCTCTTGCAACACTGTAACCTGCTGGAACTTATTAACCAGAAGCCGAGTGTCATCATCTCTGCTTGCTGGACTAGGGAGTCTGCAAACAGCATCCCCCTACATGATGGCTGTGCCCTCACCCTGCACAGGGCGCGAGCCCTGCTTTGGCTGAGGTGGGTGTGCAGAGGAGGATGGTCGTGCTTCTGCTGTAGGTTTCTAGTGTGGTGTTTCACCCGGTATCTTGATTGGCAGAGGAGGCCTTGCAACATGACGTGTGCGGGTGTCCTGTGTGCAGCAATCGCATGGCCTTGAGCAGCTCTCTCTGCTCTCCTTCCCTGGGCTGGTATTTCCTCATGGGTCAGTGAAATGGGGCCCACTTGCCTACGGATGCCGCAAGGGGGGACAGGTGTCAGGACAAGGGGGCACCCAGAGGCAGGGCAGCATGGGTGTTAAGGGTGCAGATGCTGGCACCGGTGGCCTGGGGTCAAATTCTGTTTCTGGCACAGCAAGGAAGCTGTGAGGCCTCGGGCAAGTTTCTTTGCCTCAGTTTCCCCCTCTGTCAAGTGGGATAAAGATAGTTTCTACATGAGAGGGGTAAGCATGTCAGTGTGCACTAAGCACCCGGCACTGTGCTGGGGCCTGCAGTCCCCACCATGCTTTGTCTCCTTCTGTCTCTTCCTTCTCTTTCTCCCAGCCTCGGGCCCTGTCGTCCATCACTGTCTCCCTGTCTCTGTCATTGTTTTTGGCACTCCTCCCATCCCTCCTCCCCTCCCATCATCCTGTCCCCCTTCTCTCCCCTGTCTCCCTAACCTCCTGCTGGTTTTGTTTCCTTTTTCTAAGCAGTCACCGCGTGGCTTTCCCTGTGCTGCTCTGGGATGGGCCCTCCTGGGCTACACTGCCTGGCTCTCCCTGTTCTGTCTGCTCCTCTGTCCCCTTGGCAGGGGGTGGCAGGGAGCCTGGGACCTAGGGCCCAGTGGAGGGACGGGGGTACAGAGGACACAGACAAGGGAGTTTGGGATGATGGGGGTGGAGGGGGTGGATGCCCCAGTGTGGCCCTGTTTGGGGCCAGCCCCCAGCTGGCCAAGTCAGGATTGGACCCAAGGATCCTCAAGATACCCCCCTTCTGACCTCCTGTGCCCATCTGTCCCTCCATGGCAGCCTGCCCGTCTGCAGGGCCCAGGCTCCTCGGGGCAGGGTGGCAGGCAGGGTGGGGCTGGATGGAGGCGGCCCAGCCCTGTAATCACTGGCCACAGCTATTCTGAGCCTCTCTCTGGTACCTGCTCCCTTTTCCCTTCTACCCACTGGCCCCTGGGGGCTGTTATGGTACCCACTTTCCAGCAGGCTGTGGTCTGGCCAGGAAATGAGAGGCCTTATGCAAGGGCTGGCGTTTCCGGAAGGCTGGGAGCCTCCGAGTAGCAGGGCCCTGGGGCGGAGACAGGCCTGGGTCGGCTTCTCAGTCACTGCAACTGCCCCTCCACCCCCTGCCCACAGAACACAGGCTGCTGAGCACCAGTTCTTCCTCAGTCCCCAGCCACAGTTCCCAGGAAAGGGACACGTCTCATCTGCAACACGGCGAGAAGGCCTGGCCTCCTCTCATGGGTTGCCTGGCCCTGCCCTGCCTGGTGTGGCACCAGCGGAGCTCCCCATGGTTGCTGCTAGACTCAGGCCACACCCAGCCTGGGTCTCCCTGCACCAGCATGACCAGCCAACATTGCTGCCCTCTCCTGTCAGCTCCTTTTCTGATGACGGTGTCGTTCCTGGGACATGTCCGGCAGTTCAGATCTCTGACTCTGTCTGGAGACGCAAGGTCAAATGCTGGGCTGGTCAGTGGCCTGGAGACACAGGTGGCCCTGAACCTCCTCAGCCTCCTCTGCATGCCCTGGCCACTGGAGTCTGGCCCTTGTTCCTGGGCCTTACAGGATGTGGCCTGGGCGCAGAGGGGGCCTGAGGCAGGCAGGGGGCAGCAGGACCCTGGACAGTGGGCTTCAGTTACACGCAGCAGGGTTCTGGACAATGGGCTTTAGGGTTCTGGAGGCCAGTGCAAGGCCCGTCCAGCTGCCATCTATTCCTTCCACGAACCTCTGTTTATTCAGCACAGACCATATTCTGCCTGCCAGGCACTGCGCTGGCGCAGCTGGTGTCAAAGCACGCTCCCAGACCAGCAGCCGCAGCCTCACCTGGAGCTGCTGGAAATGCAGATTCTTGGGCCCCACCCCCCAACCTACTGGACCAGAAACTCTAGAGGTGGGGCCCGGGATTCTTGAGTTTAATGGGCCCCACACAAGCTGAAGTTTGGGAATGACTGCCCTAGGTCAGTTTGCCAAAAGACCTGTTCCTCAGATTTCCCAAGTTTACTGGCGTGCCAGAAGTTTGTCTCAAGTGAATAGATTCTTCTTAGCGACATTTATAGACTCTTCATTTGGTTGAAGGCCAAGGATCACAGAAGCATTTATCCTTCTTTTCTCACATGTACCTGAATTCTTGAACATATTCTTCTTATGAATATTCAATGTTCTTATGAACTCTTACGGACATATTAAGACAGCCATTTCACATAAATGGAATCGTGTCTTAGCTGGCCTTTTATGTCTGGCTCCTTTCACTTAACATAACGTTTACAAGGTTCAGCCACACGGAAGCATGAGCCAATTCTTCATTCCTTTTATGGCCAATTAATAGCCCATGTTATGGATATACCACATTTTTATTATCCATTCATCAGCTGATGGATTTGGGTTGTTTCCATTTTGGGGCTATCATGAATAATGCTGATGGGAACATTTGTGAACAAGTTTTTGTGTGAACAAGTTTTCAGTTCTAGGAACATACTTAGGAGAGGAATTGCTGGGTTGCATGGTAATTCTAAGCTTAGCTTTTTAAGAAACCACCAAACTGTTTTCCCTCATGGATGCACCACTTTACATCCCCACCAGCAATATATGAGGGCTCCAATTTCTCCACATCCTTGTTATTTACTGTCTTTTTAAATAACCATCCTCATGGTGTTGATTTCTATTTCACTAATGGCTAGTGATGTTGCGCACCTTTTCATGTGCTTATTGCTGTAGGTATATCTTTGGAGAAATGTCTATTCAGATTCTTTGCCCATTTAAAAAATTGAGTTGTCTTTTGTTGTTCCATTGTAAGAGTTCTCCATACGTTGTGGGTACTAGTTCCTTACCAGAGAGATAATTTGCAAATATTTTCTCCCAACTACGGATTGTCATTTCACCTTCTTGATAGTGTGCTTTGAAGCACAAATGTTTTTTAATATTGATGTAGTTCAATTTATCTATTTTTTAAAATTTTGTTGTTTTGTGCTTTTGGTGTCATATCTAATACATCATCACCTAATCCAAGGTCATGGAGATTTATGTCGGTGTTTTCACTTAAGAGTTTCATAGTTTTAACTTCAATGTTTGGGGCTATGATCCATTTTGAGTTAGTTTTTGTATGTGGTATGAAGATGGGGTACAACTTCATTCTTTTGCATGTGAATATCTCATGCTGTCTCAGCACCACTTATTGTAGACTGTCCTTTCCCCATTGAATTGTCTTGGCTCCCTCATCAATAATCAACTGACCACAAATGTAAGGGTTTGTTGCTGAACTTTCAGTGCTATTTCATTCATCTATATGTCTCTCCTAGCCAGCACCACACAGTCTTGATTATTGTGGCTGTATAGTAAAGTTGTGGTATCAGGAAATGTGAATCCTCTAACTTTGTTCTTTTTTGAGATTCTTTTGGATATTCTGAATCCCTTCACTTTCCACAAGAATTTAAAGATCAGCTGTCAATTTTGGCAGAAAAAGGCAGCTGGGATTTTGACAGGAATTTCAAAGAATCTGTAGATGACTTTGGGGAGTACTGCCATCTTCACAACATTAAGTATTCCAATCCACAAACCTGAAATGTCTTTCCGTTCATTTGGGTCTTTAATTTCTTTCAACGATGTCTCATGGTTTTCAGTGGACAGGTCTTATACTTCCTTTGTTACCAACTTCTTCTTTATTACTTTATTAATTTTGATGTTGTTTGATTATTCATTGCTAGTATATAGAATATAATTGACTTTTGTATATTAATCTTGCATCGTGCAACCTTGCTGAACCCATTTATTAGCTCTTACAGTTTGTGAATTCTTTAGGGTTTTCTATATATATATACGGTTATGTCATCTATGAATAGACAAAGTTTTACTTATTACTTTCCAACCTGGATGCCTTTTATTTATTTTCCCTGCCCAATTACCCTGGATAAAACCTCCAGTATAATTAATAGAACTGGCAAAAGCAGGCACTCTTGCCTTGCTCCTGATCTTAGGGAGAAAGCTTCCAGTCTTTCACTATTAAGTTATCTGAGGGTTTTTCGTTGATGCCCTTTATCAGTTTGGCAAAGTTTCCTTCTATTCTTAAGCTGTTTAGTGTGTTTTGTCATGAAGAAGGGTATTGGATTTTGTCCTATGCTTTTTCTGCATTTATTGATGAGCATGTGGGCTTTTTTCTTGATTCTATTAATACAGTGTATTACATTGATTGATTTGTGTATATTTAGCCAATCTTGCATTCCTGGGATCCATCCTACTTGGTCATGGTGTATAAACTTTTTCATAGGATGTTATTTTTGGTTTGCCCATATTTTTTGAGAACTTTGCACTTATATTCATAAGGGACATGGCTCTGTAGTTCCCTTTTCTTGTGATGTCTTTGTCTGGTTTGGTCATCTAGATAATACTGGCCTTATGTAATGAGTTGGGAAGTGTTCTCTCCTCTTCTGTTTTTTGAAAGAGTTTATGAAAGATTGGTGTTAATTCTTTAAACATTTAGTAAAATTTACCAGTGAAGCCATCTGATCCTGGGCTTTTGTTTGTGGGATTTTTTTTTTATTACTAATTCAACATCTTGACTTGTTATGGGTCTGCTGAGATTTTATATTTCTTCTTGAGTCAATTTCAAGAATTTCTGTCTTTCTAGGAATTTGTCTATTTCTTGTATGTTTTCTCATTTGTTGGGCTACAATTGTTCAGAGTTCTCTTGTAATCCTTTCTTGTTTCTTTAAGGTCAGTAGTAACATCCCCTCTTTCTTTCCTGTTTTTAGTAATTTGAGTCTTTTCTATTTTCTCCTAGGTCAGTCTAGCAAAAGTCTTGCCAGTTTTTGAGATCTTTTCAAAGATCGCCTAACACCTTATTAGTTTATTAATATGCATAATCATATTTCTGAAAATGGGATCCAGAAGCATATGATCATATATAGGCTATATTACTGAGAACATATTAATATTAATTGACTATGCATAAAAAGATATTCCTTAAAACAGATTTTGAGTAAAGGAATACATTTATAGGTAAACGGATTTTTACTTATAATAGTTCTAGGAAAACTGAGCAGTGCAGCAAGGAGACAGACAGACAGACAGACAGCATCCCTGTCCTCATCTGGGAGACAGACAGACAGCATCCCTGTCCCCACCCAGGAGACAGACAGACAGCATCCTTGTCCTCAGCTAGCAGAAAAACAGACAGCATCCCTGTCCTCAGCCAGGAGAAAAACAGACAGCATCCCTGTCCTCAGCCAGGAGAGAGACACACACAGAGAGCATCTCTGTCCTCAGCTGGGAGACAGACACACAGACAGCATCCCTGTCCTCAGCCGGGAGACAGATAGACAGCATTGCTGTCCTCAGCCGGGAGACAGATAGACAGCATTGCTGTCCTCAGCCGGGAGACAGACAGACAGACAGCATCCCTGTCCCCACCCAGGAGACAGACAGACAGCATCCCTGTCCTCAGCCAGGAGAAAAACAGACAGCATCCCTGTCCTCAGCCAGGAGACAGACATACACAGAGAGCATCCCTGTCCTCAGCTGGGAGACAGACACACAGACAGCATCCCTGTCCCCAGCCGGGAGACAGACCAGCATCCCTGTCCCCAGCCGGGAGACAGACAGACAGCATCCCTGTCCCCAGCCGGAGACAGACCAGCATCCCTGTCCCCAGCCGGGAGACAGACAGACAGCATCCCTGTCCTCAGCCAGGAGACACACAGCATCGCTGTCCTCAGCCGGGAGACAGACAGACAGCATCCCTGTCCCCAGCCGGGAGACAGATAGACAGCATCACTGTCCTCAGCTGGAGACAGACAGACAGCATCCCTGTCCCCAGCCGGGAGACAGACAGCATCCCTGTCCCCAGCCGGGAGACAGACAGACAGCATCGCTGTCCCCAGCCGGTAGACAGACAGCATCCCTGTCCTCAGCTGGGAGACAGACAGACAGCATCACTGTCCTCAGCTGGAGAAAGACAGACAGCATCGCTGTCCTCAGCCAGGAGACAGACAGACAGCATCCCTGTCCTCAGCCGGGAGACACACAGACAGCATCGCTGTCCCCAGCTGGTAGACAGACAGACAGCATCCCTGTCCTCAACCGGGAGACAGACAGACAGCATCCCTGTCCTCAGCCGGGAGACAGACAGACAGTATCGCTGTCCTCAGCCGGGAGACACACAGACAGTATCGCTGTCCTCAGCCGGGAGACACACAGACAGCATCCCTGTCCTCAGCCGGGAGACAGACAGACAGACAGCATCACTTTCCTCAGTCGGGAGACAGCCGGACAGCATCACTTTTCTCAGCCAGGAGACAGACAGACAGCATCACTGTCCTCAGCTGGAGACAGACAGACAGCATCCCTCTTCTCATCTGGAGATAGCTAAACCTGCTTCCATGTGAAGCAGCATATTCCCTGATGGGGAAGCACTGCTGTCACAGGCATCCACAGTGGGTCACCCAGCCTAGCAAGGTGGCACTGAGAGGCTACAGCCCACTGTGCCATCTCCACTGTTGCCCAAACCTTTCTGGCTGCCCATACACAGGATCTGAGGGTGCTGGGCAGCCAGCCAGCCTGGTGAACCCCACAAGGGTTGGGGCATGAGGCCAGGGCAGATGGCAGTGGGTGAGTTTGGGTGATCTGGCCTTTCCTAGAGGGTTGGTGGGCTGGGTATCACCTTCCCACTTGTCCCCTCTTGCCTAGTACCCTCCAACTTTGGAGGGTAGGACATGGGAGCAGGAATGACACAAGATACTACCCTGATGTAATTCTGCCCCATTAGTACCCCCTGCCATCCCCCACTCCACCAAGCCCCTAGGAGGTAGGCAAGATCCGGGAAGGAAATTGAGTGCCAGAGGTGGGTCAAATGTGCCTAGATGGGTTGGCCAAACCCCCAGGTCCATGCAAGTCCCTCTGATATGGTGGCGACATCTCTCTCCTTATGCCCACAGCATTTGGAAACAGAGCCCTGGGCTCCAGCTGGCTTGGTGGGGAGAAGAGAAGCCCCCTGCAGAAGCTCTATGACCTGGATCAGGTAGGTGGACAGACCCTCGACCCAGGCATGCCCCCCTCCATCCCAGCCAGGAGCCTGACAGCAACAGTGCAGACCTGCTGGCATGAGACTGGACCCCACACTGGGGCACAGAAGGGCATCCTCCCCAAACCAGGCTTTGTCAGAGAGCAGTGACAAGGGCAAATCTTGGGGGTAAGATGAGAGACCTGGAGTCTCTACCCACCTATCTTCCCATCCATCAACAATCTGAGGCCAGGCATAGTTCTTTGTGTTGCAGATAAAAAAGAGTCAAAACAGACCCTGTACCTGCCCTCAGGAAGTTTACAGTCTCGTGGGAGACTAAATCTCAGTGTGTGCTGCAGTGGGGAGGTGTGCAGGGACCCCCAGCCCCGGCGTGATTCTCAAACAGATGGACCAGGCGGGGCTGGCTGGCCCACACACCTAACTTCAGCTGGGGGCCTGCAGGGACCACACACAACCCCAAATACACACATACAACTGTACCCCACCACCAAGAACCCCACACTCTGGCTCTCTCTCTCTCTTTCTCACACACACACACAAACACACACACACACACACACACACACACCCCACACACACAAGTACTTATTCGGACAGCACATATTGAGCACCTACTGCATGCAGGCTGTGGTCAGGATGCTGAGATCCAGCAGCAAGCAGGTTGGCCAGGTCCCTCCCCTAGTGGAGCCACCAGTCCAGCAGGGGAAGATGTCATCTGATCACCACCCACACTAATACTTAACTAATTCTGCTCTAAAGGGGAGTATGAGGTGCAACAAGAGCTCTCCTGAGAGGATCCTAGTTTAGATGGGGGAGAGCAACTCCTCTCCAAGGTAGGGACATTGAAGCTGAGGTGAAGAGCAAGAGTCAATAGGCAGACAGGAAGGGCCAAGCGCCACAGGCAGAGGAAACAGCTGTGCCAAAGGCCTGGCGGGGAGTGGAGGACAGGAGAGGGAGCACAAGGGGAGCCTGGAGAAGTGGGCAGCACGCAGGCCCTGCAGGTGTGCAAGGGTAGCGGGGAGCCATGCAAGGTTTTAAGCAAGGAAGGACAGCATCAGATTTTCACCCTTGGGGTATCCCTACTGCTGTGTAGAGAAGGATCAGGGTGGTGTTGGGTAGGTGGCTGCTCCCCAAATCCTGAGGGCTGAGCGGAAGGGGCCTGTGGAGCTCATCTGGCCCAAGCCTACAAGCAGGTAGGGAGGCCTTCCTTCGCAGAGTGTGACTGACTGACTCTGGGCCACACAGCAGGCTGACGGTAGGACAGGCACTCAGTAGGGCCCTGGGTTCCACTAGCTCTGGCGGCTTCTGAGGGGCAGATGGCCCCTCACAGCCTGAGGACCCTGTGACCGTTGGGTGTCAACTCCCTGGAGGCTTAGCACCTTGCGGCTGGAGAAATAACATAGTAAAAACCATCTGGCCAACAAGTGCTGATCACGTGCCAGGCCCTTTAGTTCTGTGGACTAATTACGTCAACCCATAAGGTGGGGCCGTTGTCCCTGTTTACAGACAAGGACACAGGCATGGGGAGGCAAGTGCCCTGCAAAGGTCACAGAGCTTCTATGGACTAGAGCCAGCAAGGAATCCAGGCAGCCACACTGTGGGGGTGAGGACAGGAGCTGTAGGTGCAGCCCCGGACAGTGGACATAGGTCCAGCTTTAGAGTCCCAAGGGGCCTGAGTTGGAGCCCCGGCTTCCCCAAAGAGAGCTGTGTGACCTCAGGCAACTCATTTCCCCTGAGTCTCAGTTTTCTCTTCTGTAAAATGGGTATTCATGTGCCTATGAGCAACAGCAGTGGCAGCCCAAGCTGCTTCCAGCCATGAGGAGAGTTAGTGCCCATTCCTGAGCTGCTCGGAGACTGGCAGCCCACGGTTCAGCAGCAGCCAGCTGCCCACCATCGTCCTCCGGATGTTGACTTCTGTCATAGAGCTGGCCTCCTGACTATAAGAGGACTGCCAGGGCTGCAGACACCTCACAGGAGGGCATCCCAGGCAGAAAGTGAGTGGTGGGGTAAGGGTTTCCCCTGACTTTTCACCCTAAGGGAGTCTTTCCTGGGAGTCATCTGGCTAATCCCCTGATATCGCCTCAGGCAGAGCCAGGCCACATTCCCCCCGAACCCCCGGACCCAGTGCTTCAGCAACGACACACGAAGCTGAAGATATGGCTCCCTGAAGCTGGGCTCATGCCCTGACACAGCCGGGGTCGGCCAGCAAGGAAGGAGGAAGACTGACAGGTGGCCGGATGGCCAACATTCCCTGCCACAAGAAATGTGTTGGGTCATCTAAAAGCTGAAAGCAGACCTTGGCTGTGGGCCCCGGGGGCACAGCCTCTCCTGGCACCATGTGGAGCTAGGCTTCTAAGGTCAGTCCTGACGGTGGAAACAGGGTCTCCCAGGTGTCCCCATACCCCCATGGCATAGCTGAACCTGGCAGCCTTCCCATGGTGAGTGTGGCTAAGTGACTGTCTTATTTCACTTAGCATGATGTCCTCAGGGTTCACTGTTTCTCAAAATGGTGAGATTTTAAAAATGTAAGCACATGACATGGCATTTGACACTACAGAAGGGTAGACACAGTGAAGAGTAGGTCTCCTTGTCCAGCACCTGTCCTCTCGGAGGCCACCAGATCCCTGGGTGTCCTTCCAGACATGCTCTAGGCGTGTAAGTAGTATCCACTGCTTTGCCGTGTGCTTACAGTAACTTCTTGAGAATCTCACCTACAGGCATGTATGTCCTATGTCTGTCTGCCTCTGTCTTTTCATTTTGAAAAATTCAAGCATATGCAAGAAGAAGGGAGAATAGTTCAAGGAACCCCCACCTTCCCACCACCTACTCCCACCTGGGATGACTGCGAAGCCAGTCCCAGCCTTGTGGATTCTGTGACTATGTCTGAACGTATCTCTAAAATAATAAGTCTCCCTCCACCCACCCTTTGTGAAACGTTTTTTATTTCTTTCCCTTTTTCAACATAAATGTTAAGCCCTGTTCTGCACTTTGGTTTTCCCACTTAGTGTATCTTAGACAGCTGTGGGATAGTTTGAAAGGCATCAGGAGCATAGTGTGCACATGTGTGCAGGAGCGTACATGGACACACACACAACCACAAACACACCACACACACTGCACACACACACACATATGTACCCCACACCACACACACCCCACACACCCCACACCATGCACACACCACACACACCGCACACACACTGCACACACACACACATATGTACCCCACACCACACACACCCCACACACTCCACACCACACACACAGCACACACACACCCCACACACCACACACACCCCACACTATACACACAGCACATACACCACAGACACCACACACACACCACACACATATGCCACACACACCCCCCACACCACACACACACCCCACACCACACACTCCACACCACACACACAGCACACACACACCACACACCACAGACACCACACCACACACCACAAACACACATACCACACACACACCACACACATCACACACACACACCCCACACCACACACACACACAAACACACACCACACATACACCATACATACACCACACACACCACACACCCGCCACACATGCCACACCTGCCACACATGCCACACACACACAAATGCCACACACGCATGACACACACACACAAATGCCACACACGCATGCCACACACACGCACACCACACACCACACAGAGACATCATGCACCACAGGCACACACCACACGCGTGCACCACACACGCACAGGACACACACGCATTCCCACCCCACTGGCGTCAGACCCTCCCAAGCAGGCCCTGGCTCTGGTGTTCCTCCAAAGGCCGCTTTGGCCTCCTCTGAAATGGAAACACCTGAAGCCTTTTTTCTTAACTGAGAACTCACATACCATACAACTCTTTCAAACCCTACAATTGGTTTGCAGCATTTTTATAAGGTTTTGTAACTATCACCGCTGTCTAATTTCCAAACATTGTGATCACCCTCAAAAGCAGCCCAGTGTCAGTCCATCAGCAGCCCAGTGTCCATCAGCAGCCCAGTGTCTATCAGCAGTCCTCCACAGTTCACTCAGGTTCTAGTTTTGGTCTCTCTGGATGTGACTGCTCTAGGGACCTCACTAAGTGGGACTGTTTGGCACTCGTCCTTTTGTGACTGTACTATTCGCTTGGCATAACGCCCTCCAGGTCAGCCCATGTGGCAGCATGTGTCAGCACCGCATTCCTTTCATGGCTGAGTCATATTCCATTGCATGGATGGCCGCATACATTTGCCCACTCAGCAGTGCACACTTGGATTTTCTGGCTAATGTGAATATTGGTGCTATGAACTTCATGGACAAGTTTTTTGCATGATGCACGTTTTTAGTTCTCTTGAGAATATGCCTAGGACCGGAATTGCTGAGTCACATGTTTACTGGTTTTGAGGAACTGCCAAACTGCTTTCCACAGCAACGGCACCCCTTTACACTCCCACCAGCAACTCGTGAAAGCTCCAGTTTCTCCACATCCTCACCAATTCCTAATTGTCTTTTTAATTATATCCTGAAGGCTCTTAATGTAATTTTAAGAAGTTAAAACACTTTCTTTTATGAACTCTTACACAAAAAATCATAGGCAGGGGTGTTAATCTTGGAGATAAGAACCCCGGGTGGGGCAGGAGTGATCTGAAGAAAGGGGAGCTGGAAGCATGGAAGCGCTGGCCTGGGTCTCTACATGGCTGAGGCTGCGAGGGGCTCCGGACCTAATTCGGAGAGCGGTGAGGCTGCTGGCCCGCAGCAGGTGCTAGGTTAAAGCCAGTCGTTGTTCCTTCTCATAGGAGGGACAGGCTCAGAAGGGGCAGGCTTCCTGTCCCAGCGCTGAGATAAGAATTTGCTGGGGGAATAAAAGGAGTGAAGGTGCAAAGGAGAGTGCTGATTGGTAAGTACAGAATCAGCCCATTTATTATTGAGCCAAAGCAGCCCGACAGCCCACAAGCGGCTGCAGTTTTCAATTGGGTGTGGAATTAAACAGCGCTGCTTCTTATGCAGCCTCCTGCTTTTAGTAAACATTGAAGAGTCCATGTGTGCCCGTACTCACACGGAGCGCACTCTGATGCCACAATTCCTTATCACTCCTCCTCTGAGTGCCCCACGGCATACATACCCAGCGCGTCCTTCTCCCAGCCTCAGCAAAGTCAGAATCCGTTTCTCCCAAATCTCGGCCCAGGACAGATGCCCGGGCCCTAAACCACACAGTGATCAGTGACAGCCCTGGGGTTCGAATTTGGGTGCCCGGCGCAGCTCCTGCTCCCAATTCCCGGGCGCATCCCGCCGGGGCAGCGCCAGAGTCAGGGAGCCCGCGCTGCCCTGACGCGTCCCCCTGTCCCGTCTCCTGTCGCCCACAGGACCCGCGCTCGACCCTGGCGAAGGTGCACCGGCAGCGGCGCGACCTGCTGAACAGCGCCTGTAGCCGCCACTCACGCCGGCAGCGCCTGCTACAGCCGGAGGACCTGCGGCACGTGCTGGTGGACGACGCGCATGGCCTGCTCTACTGCTACGTGCCCAAGGTGGCCTGCACCAACTGGAAGCGCGTGCTGCTGGCGCTGAGCGGCCAAGCCCGCGGCGACCCGCGCGCCATCTCCGCGCAAGAGGCGCACGCGCCTGGCCGCCTGCCCTCACTGGCCGACTTCAGCCCCGCCGAGATCAACCGGCGCCTGCGCGCCTACTTGGCCTTCCTGTTCGTGCGGGAGCCCTTCGAGCGCCTGGCATCGGCTTACCGCAACAAGCTCGCGCGCCCCTACAGCGCCGCCTTCCAGAGGCGCTACGGTGCACGCATCGTTCAGCGCCTGCGGCCGCGCGCGCTCCCCGACGCCCGGGCCCGCGGCCACGACGTGCGCTTCGCGGAGTTCCTGGCCTACCTGCTGGACCCGCGCACGCGGCGTGAGGAGCCCTTCAACGAGCACTGGGAGCGCGCGCACGCGCTCTGCCACCCGTGTCGCCTCCGCTACGACGTCGTGGGCAAGTTCGAGACGCTGGCGGAGGACGCGGCCTTCGTGCTGGGCCTGGCGGGCGCATCCGACCTGAGCTTCCCTGGGCCGCCGCGGCCCCGGGGAGCCGCCGCCTCCCGCGACCTGGCAGCGCGCCTCTTCCGGGACATCAGCCCCTTCTACCAGCGGCGCCTCTTCGACCTCTACAAGATGGACTTCCTGCTTTTCAACTACTCCGCCCCCTCCTACCTGCGGCTGCTCTAGCGGTCCTGGAGGTCCTGTGGCCACGCGGGGCAAGTGCCTTTCCGACAAGACCCCCGGGGAATGCAGGTGCTGCCGGCCCCAGGACCCCTCTTCAAGAGCCACTGCGTGCACTCACCTGGCCGCCGGGCCAGCGGGCGCAGGGCACACCTGGCCAGGCTTGGGGGCAGCCCATCTCAGGTGGCCCTGCACGCGTGTGCCTGCCTCGGCCTGTCGCCTGAGGCCTGCTTCCTCCACTTGCTCCAGCTGACAGGCACCTCTCCAGGCCCCGTAGATGGGCAAGGACTTGATAACCAGGGTTTTAGGCTTTTAAAGGCCATTTTGGGGGTCAGCCCTGCCCCTGAACCTGTTCATGGTGCATCAGAACATAATGCTGACACCGGTGTCAGTGTGGCCCGAGCCTGTGTCCTCCCCACCTCGCCCACCCTGGCAAGGACAGCTGCGGCCAAGGACGAAAGCCCTCCCTTGGCTGGCCTCACGATGGGGCCGTCCCGGGAGCCAGGTGGGAGCTGCCTTCCACTGCCATCGGGTCTCCTCTCCTCTCCCACGCGGCTGGCCCTACCCAGGCGCCACCTTCGGTCTCAGTCTGGCAAGACGCTGGGTCTTCAGGCTCCATGCCAACAGAGCCCCTGGTGCAATGCGGTCACAGGTTTTATGGGACTTTGGTGAGCTGGGCGGTCATGGTTTTGAAATAAATGTATTTTGTTACTTTCTGATTTTTTGGAGTTTATCTGCTTCATTGGGCCATTTTCTCTGGGAGACTGCAGCTGTCTGATCTCAAACCACTCCGTCTCCAAGCCTTTGTTTCCCTGTTGCCAAGTGGCATAAGAAGATCAGATGAGAGTGCCCACAGAGCCTGGGTACCTCCTAGTGGTGCATATAGGAGTGAGGGGCTACATGGGGCATAAGGTGAAGAGAGTGCACTGTGTAGGAGGTGCTAAATTCTGGCACTGACAACTTGGGGAAAATCTACTCTTTCACCCTGACCTGGGCCAAGGACTGAAGCCCACACCAGCTCAGCCAAGCCCTGGGCCTTGTGCTGCCTCCCACCTTTGTGCGTGTGTGACTGTGAGAGTGTGCATGAGTGTGTGAGTATATGAGTGAGAGTGTGCATAAGTGAGTATATGAGTGTAAGAGTGTGCATGTGTGCATGAGTGTGTGAGAGGAATTGTGTGTATGTGTATGTGTGAATGTGTGAGTGTGGGTGTGTCTTGGGCCACTTGTCTCTGAGCTCCCCCAGGGCTGTGTCCAGAGGCCCTGCCAGCAGGAATGGGGTGGCCAACTCCAGTGGACCTGGGAAGGGGCTGCAGCTGCCACTGGTTTCCCCATGAGGCCTCCCCCAGCCTGGGCCCTTCCCCCACTGGAGGGACATACAAAGCCCAGGGCCTTGCACCATTTCCAGCGTTCCCTGGGTGCTATGGTTTGAATATTTGTCCCCTCCAAAACTCATGTTGAAATTTAATCCACAATGTGGCAGTCTTGAGAGATGACCCAACCATTAAGACGTGACTGGGTCATGAGAGCTCTTCCCTCACGGATCAATTAATCCATTGGTAGTTTACTGGATTGATGGGTTGATGGATTAATGAGTCACCATGGGAGTGGGACCGGTGGCTTTATAAGAAGAGTAAATCAGACCTGAGGTAGTGTACTCAGCCCCCTCACCACGTGATGCTCTGTACCACCTCCGGACTGTCCAGAGCCCCTGTCAGCAAGAAGGCCCTCACCAGATGCAGTCCCTAACGCTGGGACTTTTCAGCCTCCATAACTGTAAAAAGTAAATTTCTTTTCTTTATAAATTACCCAGTTTCAGGAGCTCTGTTACAAGTAACAGAAAAGGGACTAAGGTACTGGGCCAGAGCCCCACTGTTTAGAGACAGGCTGAGGAGGGAAGGATGGGGCCTTGGCCACACTGGGGCCACTGTCTTTGTGAGGGGCTCCCTGGCCCTCACATGCTCCCTTAGAGGCCACACATGCTGTGTTCTAGGCCACTGTGTGTGCAATTGTTGCACACCCATTTTGATGACACATGCCTTTGTTCCCAGCTCACTCAGCTCCCACACAGCCCCCGATGGGACCTGTTTGCTGAAACTGACACCCATCTGGATGTCTCACTCCCAGGTGTCTCACAATTAGATGTGCCCTGCCTCCTGCTGTCATGCCCTCAGCACCTGGACATGCTGGCAGTTATCACACTCACAGTCCCTTGTGTGGGCAGCTACTCCACTGCTTCCCCACTGATGCCCCCATGTGTACATGCTGCAGGCACCCAGTGTCACCCAGACGCTGTGCCCACCACATGCAGCTCTGTACCCTCTGCTGTATGTGCAGGGCCACAGCCCAGGCCCTCGAGGACTGAGGGCGCTGGGGCAGCTCTGGAGGCTGTCCTTGGGGAACTCCACCTGCTCTGGCCTGCTGTGGCCTGTTTCCTCTCTGGCTGGTGCCAGAACGTCTGTGTCCTCACAGATCACAGGCTGACCACCCTGTGGGATCCCAGCTGGATCACTAGAGGATACAAGAAAGACAGGGTCACATGTGCAGAGCTGGACAACACAGGGGGGTGCCCAGGTGATTCTCCATCTGGCACCTCCTTCAGGCAAGTGATTGTTAAAACCATAGTCCAGTGCCCACAAGGGCTGATGGCACAAACCCAAGGTCACGCGGCATTTTAACTTCCTTGAAATTGTCTTTTACTTCCCAGGTTTTCAGTCTCTTAAAGTTGGATAGTGCTGGCAGGACACCTCCCAGGATGGGGTGCCATTGCTGGTTTGGGTTACAGACTTCTTTAAAATAAGTGTAAGTGCTCTTTTGCTTTTTTCTGGCTTTCATTGTCAGGAAAATGTTAACCAACTTTCTGCAGTTATGGGGTAGGGCTTGTTTTTCTTTTCAGTTTTATTCTGTGGCTTTGTCATTCAGGCAGCTTCCTGAGAGGGATGTTTCCAATGCTTAAAATTTAAAATAAATCCCTGGTTTCTCACAAACAGCGAGATGTAATGCATTATTGTTTTGGAAGCACAGCCGAATGCATCTGTGGGCTTCAGCAACGAGTAAGACAGTAGCAGGGTGAAGGCAAGGCCCAGGGCTGCTGCATGCAGCTCCAAATGTGTGTCACCAGCACACTCCAAGGGGTCAGTGGGCCCAGATCTCAGGATGCCACCTTTCCCCATCATGCTGTGGCTCCTGCATGAAGATAAAGGTGCGGCTGCCTGGGACAAAGGCTTGATGACAGTCGTTTAAGGTGTTTTCTGTTATCCAGAGGAAGGGGGCTGAGGGCTGGTGGGACAGATGCTCCAATGGGCCACTTGGAGCCCAGGACCCTTCTCTTTTGTTGCTCCCTAGTCCCTAGGGCCTGGCCCTTTTCCATGAGAGTGAGCCATTCACTTTTCAAGTATCCCAATGTCAAAGGGAAAAGAAGGGCACCCAAGCTGGCTTTAAAGACACAAACTGGACAGTCCATTCCATTTCCAGTGCAATGCCATTGGCCTGAACCTAGCCCACTGTATTCCCAGTGGCAAGGGAGTCTGGGAACTGACAGCCAGTTTTAGGTCGGGTGCCTCAATGCGCTCCCTAGCATCTGCAACCCTCCCGCAGTCTCCCTCTGACCACCAGGCCTCTTGGCCTGGGCACAAGAAGGCTGGGTGTGCAGGAGTTAGTGCCCCCTGGAAGCAGTCCTCACCTACATCTGTTGGAAGTCGGGCGATAAATGCTCCAGCTTTTATCCCTGCATGAAGGACATTGAGACACAATCTGCATGGTGCCCCAGATTTCCCCACGGGGACTGGGCACCAAATGCCCTCAGTGGCTGCTGTGGACTGAATTATGTTCTCCCCAGTCTTATGTGGAAGCCCTCACCCACAATGTGATGCTATTTGGCGATGGGGCCTTTGGGAGGTGATCAGGTTGAGATGAGGTCATGAGGATGCGGTCTCCATGGTGGGATTAGTGTCCTCATAAGCAGAGCCACTGGAGAGTTCTCTCTCTCTCCCTCCCCGCCTCTCCCTCTCACACAGGGAGAAAGCAGCCATCTACAAGCCCAGAAGAGAGAAGAGAGCCCCCATCAGGGAACCAAGGCAGCTAGCACTTTCACCTTGGACGTCCAGCCTTCCTTGGAACTGGGAGAAAATGAACATTGTTTAACTCCCCCCAGCCTGTGGTGTTTGCTACGGTGGTCCCAGCAGACTAAGCCGTGGTTGCCAGCTCAAGGGTACATTCCTTGTCTGGTTCCGTCCCTTCCCTGTCTCCTCCCTACTTCTCTATGGGCTAACTGGGATTGCCTCTCACAAAAACTACTCACACTCCATCCTTGCCTCCAGAGCTGGTTCTGCGGGACTGAGGCAAAGAGGGAATCAACCATAAATCCATGATGACATGCTGCTTTTGTTCCACTGGTCTTAAATGCTAGGTTAGTTTGGATCCTTTTCTGTGGCAGTGCCGACATGAATGTTGTTGCATACCCTCCTCCTGCATAGGTGTGAGTGTGACTGCAGGATAAACTCCTGGGAGAGGGTCCACACTCCCCAATGCACCTCCACCGTGCCTCATCCTTTCTACCTGTGGATCTGTGTTTGACTGTAACTGCTCACAGCTTAAGGGCACATGGGGACCCAGATGGCCTCAGAGATGCAGGGCACAGGGCCCATGTTGCTATCTGGGCCACTGTGTGAGCATTTCTAAAGTTTATGGAGTAGCTGTGCTTAGAGAGTATTGCTGCACCATCTCTCTCCTGTCAAACATTTCAGCTGTCACCCGCTCCTCTGCAAGGGCTTCCATGCGGTGCAGCTTCCTGGGGGCTCATTTTCTTCTTTGCAGGAATAACATGCACATAAACCTAAACTCAGTGCACAAGGCAGGGGCTGCAAACACATCCCAGCTGCCCTCAGATTCTTCCTTTAAACGCCCAGGAGAGGAGGCACGAATTACAGACCATGTATGTTTTTATAATTGACTCTGGATTCAGGTAATGAGTTACCAACTTTTTCTACAAACCACCACCAGCTTTGCTATCATGAGTGGAAGAGCAGGCAGCCAGCGACCCCTCCTGCTCCAGTCCCAAAAGCTCTGGGCCCTGCCTATAGTGCAGGTGTGGACCAGAGGGAACCTGGAGAGGCTGGGAACTCTCTGGAAATTGTTCTGGCAAGAGCTGATAAAGGAGGTGCTCAGGAGCCCTCCAACCAACCAACCAGCAAATCCTATCATGGGTTGGGGAGGGGAGACAGTACACCCCAGGGGACAGGGACAGGAATGCCTAGAGCAGCAGCACCCACAGTAGCACAAAGTGGAAACAACCCAGACATCTACCCAAAAGAGAATGGACACATCATGGAATGAGAAACAGTGGAAAATGAAGGAACTACAGCAGTAGCATCATCATCACATGACTCTTAGCAACTTGCTGTGGAGGGGAAAAAGTTGCAGAGTTTGACACAGTCTTATATAATTGAAAAAAGCAAACAATGTGTTATTTCAAGGAGTGCAGTGGTGCGATCTCAGCTCACTGCAACCTCCACCTCTTGGGTTCAAGCCATTCTCCTGCCTCAGCCTCCTGAGTAGCTGGCATCACAGGCGTATGCCACCATGCCCAGCTAATTTTTGTATTTTTAGTAGAGACGGGGTTTCACCATGTTGCCCAGGCTGGTCTCGAACTCCTGGGCTCAAGTGATCCACCTGCCTTCAGCCTCCCAAAGTGTTGGGATTACAGTCGTAAGCCACCATGTCTGGCCAAATTATAACATTTTTTAAGTGGGGAGAAAGATGTGGTGACCTGATGGGCAGGGTACGAGGGACTCAGGGTGTGGTGAAGTGGGGGAAGGAGCACCCAGCAGGGATAAGAGTGGGTCTCGTGTCCCTGGTTATGCTGCATGGTAAACATGCGTTGCTGTATTTTGCTTATATCAAACAGTGCATAGCTTAAACCTCAGAGACAACCTCCTCGAAGCTTATACAGTCCAAATGAAGATCAGCCTGGCTCCCACCCTCACAGGAAGGGACCCCAGGGATCTTTGCTTCCTGCAGGTCTGTGGGTGCTGCTGGAAGCTGTACTCTATCCCCAGGCAAATGCTGTGAGTCCCCTGCCTGGACCTGGGGTCCCACCTGGGGAGGGAGCCTGGAGTCTTGGCTGGGGCGGCACAGTGCAGCCCGGTCACCCTTCCCCAAACACCACAGATGTGACTCCAGGGTCTGCTTCGTGCAGGTTGGGAACCCACCCCTGTCCTGCCCCCAGGGCCTGGGAAGCCAACCCCCTTCAATCTTTTCATCACAAGGGTCCTCACTTCACTTCCTTTCTGAGACAATAAAGCCACTTGCCCACCTGGGGAGAAGACAATAAAGCCACATCCCACTCCAGGGAGAAGGCTGCAAAGTGTCCTGATTTTATTCACCCTCCCAAGGAACTCCAAGGTGACTTTCTAGCCCCTGTATTTGTAGAACACAGTGGGGGGACCCTTAAATCTTCAGCAGGCACCCCGCTGCCCAGTGCTGCTGTCTTGCTTTACAAAGGCATCACCAGCCTCCAGCAGCCACACCACGCTCCTTACATTACTGATGTTGTAATACAGGAATATGGCATTAGGCTCATGTATGACAACCCACAAAATGGTGTGCCTCACTCTCGGTCCTGTCCCCAGGTCCCCCATTCTCCTCCTCAAAGGTAATGATTGCTGCCTGCTCCTCATCCACGCCCCCCCCCCCACACACACACATACACACACCGTTTTTAGTAAACACAAGATGGCAGCATATCAGACACACTCTTCTGCTGTGCTTTTTAACAAAAATTGTAACAGACCTGTACATCATTCAGATCAGTCTATAAAGAGCTGCCTCTACATTTGAATGGCTGCCTAAGATTTCCGGGAGTAGTTGTATAATTTAGCAGTTTCCTGTGAGTGTTTAGCAAACAGTTTAGCTGCTTTCCAATCCTTTGCTGTTTCCAGCAGCACTGGAGTGAACAGCATTTACTTACCTGTGTGAGTGTACATTTGGGATAAAGTCCTAGAAGTGACATTCATGCTCTTTTTAATCCTCACACCAACCCTGCAAGATTAAACATTATTACAACAATTTTAGAGATGAGAAAATGAAGGCTCAGGGAGGCAAAGTGATCATTCCAGCTGGAAGTGGGGTGGGAACTCGCAGTTTATTAGCTTGGTGTAGCTTTTTGGGGGGACCACAAACCACTCCCGGTCTATGATGGCCATGAAGGCTGATCCCTTTACTAAAGTCTCTGTGGCTACTGCCCAGAGCCTGCCAAGGAGAAGGTGGCCAATAAGAAGGCCACACACAGAGCCCAGTCTCTAGGAGAGGCCCCTGGACAGCCCTGCCGCCTTGCTGGTCTGGGGGCAGGCAGCCTCAGTGTGCCGGGTGGACAGCAGGAAGGCGAGTTGTCTGGGGAAGCGGCGACTCAGCAACTTGAGTTCCCAAAGGTTGCACAGTGGAGGTGGTGATGGTGCTGGTAGTGGTGCCGGGCAGGAGCCAGACGGTGATGTAAAATCTGGAGCCCCGAGCCTAGAGAAGCCACACAGAGCCACGCCTGGCCTTCAGGACCCCTGCTGGCTGCAGCCATTGCAGCCCAGAGAAGTCAGCCAGGGCCACATCTGGGAGGGCTCCAACTGAGATCTACTCCCAACCAGGCTTGACCTGGCCCCTTCCACACAGAGGCTCTGCCACCTGATGTCCCAGGAAGCCATGGGGGCACCGCACACTCACCCCCCCACACAGGCTCCTCCAGCCACCTGACATCCAAGCCAGAATCTAGGAGCCTCCCCAGTGCCTCCTGAGCCCCAGCCCATAAGTGGCTGGGGACGTGGTCTCAAGTCCTGCCCAACCACTAAGCAAGCTTTATTTTTAGCACCTGCCGGAGGCATACTTACTTCTCTGCCATGCCAACCTGACTGTGAGGACACCCTCTGTCTCCCACTCCTCCTTCCAGCCCATCTCCCAGCAGCTACATGCAGGACCCAGCATGCCACCCACAGGCTTGACTGTCTCCGCAGCTCCCCGACAGGATGGCGTGGGAAAGCTCCCTTCTGCCTGCTCCCCATTGTTTTGCTGCCATTTGACTGAGGCTGACACCCACAGCCCCCTCCCTACCTCCTGTGCTCATGGGCCCGGCCGTAGAGATGTGGAAACCCACCAATGCCCACTCCCCCAGCCCTGGCATGGGACCAACTCCCTGCTGTGGCTGGGCCCTGGGAGCCGCTTGGTCCCTGGTCAATTATCTCTCCCCAGCCTTGGCTCAGCCCACTGCCCCCTTCAGCTCCCTGACATGTTCCCAGCAGCAGGGGTTCAGCCCCAGGCCTCTGCTCTGACCCCACAGCTGCCCCTGACTCTAAGCCAGTCCATTTTGCATGGGTAGAATCTGAGACCAGGAACATCTGAGCTCTCAGAGCCCAGCCCTGGCCGCTAAGCCCCATTGCTTCAGCTCGGCGATGTGGGGCAAAAGCCTGGGGATCTGATGCTCCTGTAGCCGAACTACGGGGAGTGAGGCCTGGCAAAGGCCAGGGCCGTTTGTGTGCTGGATGTGCATGTAAGTCTGTTCTTTGTGTGTGTGTGTGTGTGCGTGGCACTACTATCTCTCCAGGTGTGTGTTCAGGGGAACGCGTGTGCATCCTCATGGCTGGCCAGAGTTGACAGGCACTATATCAAACAATGGGCATGGAAAAGTCAACACAGACCCCCCCCTGCCCCTGACATTAACTGGAGTGGGCGGGGGGCCAGGGCATCAGTGGGGCCGGGGCATTCAGGAGGCTAGGGGTCCTGCACCGCTGGTGGAGGAAGCCCTTCGGTGCCACACAGCTGTTCCCCGTGCCGTGCATGACTGAGGAGACACCAGGTCAGAAGCTCTGTTTCTTTCTCCACATCTGTTTAGGAGGAAGTAGGTGTGCCTGAGGGTCTGCTTTTCCGTGGCTGGATCTTTCCAAAGGTGTGCAGGGTTTCTTTGAGCGCCCCATGCATGGGGTGACAAGGGGGCATGAGAGTTTGTGCTGTGGTCAGCTGAGGGCCACCCAGTGCAGAGGTCCCTGCCAGGGCCTCCACCCTTGGAGTACAGCATTAGCCGGCCCAGTGCAGCCACAGTGAGTGCAGAAGCTCCTGGCTCCTTCCCTTGCTGCTCTCCCATGTGGAGGACTTGGCTAAACTCCTGCTGCACTGAGGCCAGTTTCTCCACCACTCCTCCAACTAGGCCTAACCCCGGTGGCCTGGGCCCTGCCCAGGGAAGGTTCTGTGTGCCCTTGCCTGGATGCTGCCTGGCTGTGGGAACAATTATCAGGCTTTAGCATCCCCCTTCTCTGCCTCAGTTTCCTCAGCTTTAAAGTGGCGCGTGCTGGGAGGATAACATGAACGTCTGCATGCAAAACTGGGGGACAGAAAGCCAGGCAGCATGCACACAGCCAGTGGGGGTGGTGGCATCAGGGCAGGGACTTACCCTCGGACTGGGATGGACCTCGTTGGCACCAACCTCTTCTGCAGGGGCAGCTGCACCGTGTTCGAGTCGTTTGTGACCTCCCAGGGCTGCAGGGGCTCAGGGTCGGGCTCTGTCAGCCACGACAACCTGCAACAGCACTTGGAATGTCAACATGGCCACCATCCACCAGCCTCCTGAAGTAACTCTCACTCATCTGGAACTTTCCATCTGCTAGGCACTGTTCTAAGTGCTTCACAAATATTAGCCCATATGTCAGCTGACAAGCATGCTGTGAGGCAGGTGTTACCCACACTTTACAGACAAGGAAACTGAGGCACAGAGGTTCCACAGCCAGGAGGTGGGAACTAAGCTGCAGCCTGCTCCAGAGCCTTGTCATGGCCACAGCAGCCAAACGGTGCAGAGCACTTGAGCCCCTGGGTGCTGGCCTCCCCTGGTTTCAACCTGAGGCCACTCTGTGTGGTGTGTACCTGCCACCTGGGCCTCATGTGATGGTGTCTGCGGTGGGGGACAGAATGGGGTGCAAGGTTATGGCTACAGTTTCCTGGGGCAAGGACAAGAACAGGTGCTCAGCTGGCCCGGCACAGGGACACAGCATGGAGCTCATCGTCCCCACCTCCCTCGAGCGTGGCTGCCCTGGTGGTCCCCCGTGGTCCCTGTGGGTAGCCCTGCCAAGCATCCAGGGCCACTGCTGGGCGCACAACACTTGCTTCTGGGGTGGGGGGTGAGCATGGAGTGGGAAGCTTGAGGTTGCACGGTGCCAAGCTGAGCCCCAGTGCCAGGTGCTGCCTGCTGTCCTGCGGGTGGGAGGCCAGCTGCCCTGCGCCCCAGGCATTGCTGGCAAGATTTCCCTTGCATTTGTTTTGCCTCTTTGGCCCGTGGCTCTGTCCTTATGTGAAGTGCCCTGTGGAGACTTGGCCCAGGCCCCCTCGGGCTGCCCGTTATCCTGGCTAGTTGCGAGTCCCAGGAGCTCACAAACAATGGGTGCCCAGCACACCAATTCCAACACAGCTCAGGAGGGGCAGTCGTCTGTGGCCATGCTCCTCGCGTGACTTGGGGAAGCAGCTGGCCTGGGCTCTGGGATGACCCAGGGAGGCCTGAGCCCACCCAGAGGCCCCTCGGCTTAGGCTGTGATGGGGGTAACGAAGGCGGACCCCAGACTGTCAGCTGGGCAAGGGCTGCTAAGGGTCTCCCTGTGGACAAAACCCCCTCCCAGCTGCAGCCCCACAGAATGCATTTGAGTTCCCAGGATGCTGGGGTGACCTGGGGGAGGCAGGGCTTGTCTCCAGAGGTGTCAGCCTCCCGCACCTGTACGGAAACTTCTTGGCAAAATTCTCCTGGGCCTGGATCCTCCACTTCTTACTCTGGTGAGACTTCTTGCAGGCACTGGAGTCCATCACTGAGTGGGTTAAGCTGAGGCACACCTCTCAGCCATGGCTGGAAGACAAGAGGAGGCGTCAGAGGGGGCAGGGGTGGTGGGGGGCAGAAGGCAGAGTGATGAGTACCCAGCAGGGCTGGGGGTGCCTGCGGGCCGCCAAATGACCTGCATCACTGCCCTGTGCATGCACCGCTGTGTTCAATTTTCTCCTGCGTGTAGCTTCCTGTGACCACCGTAATCAAGGTCCTCACCAGACGCTCTCCCCAAGGCTCTCTCACGCTTACCCCTCCACAGCCACGCCTGTCCACAGCCCGGTTCCCCAACCCTGGCAGCCACTGATCTGTCCTCATCATGGGGCAGCCATGTGATTTCAGGAGCGCTATGCGGAGGAACTGCACACGAGGTGTGTTTCTGAGACTGGCTCCTTCTCATCCATTTCTTCCAGATCAGCCCAAACTTCACCCACAGTCTGTCCCTCCTGCTGCTGAGCACTGTTCTAGGGTGCGGTTGTGCAGCTTCTCAGGCCTCCAGCTTGGGGCACTTACAAAGCCACTGTTAATATTCAGATGTAAGTTTTTGCATGAAAATAAGTCTTCATTTCTCTGAGATATATTGCTGGGTCATATGGTAAGTCCATTTCTAGTTTTCTGTTTGTTTGTTTTGAGACAAGGTCTTGATCTGCCGCCCAGGCTGGAGTGCCGTGGTTGATCACGGCTCACTGCTGCCTCAACCTCCTGGGTTCAAGTGATCCTGCCACCTCAGCCTCCCGAGTAGCTGGGAGCACAGGCATGTGCTACCATGCCCCACTAATTATATATTTTTGTAGAAATGGGGTCTAACTATATTGCCCAGGCTGTACATACATTTTTTGTTTGTTTTGTTTTTCTGTTGTTTTTTTTTTTTTTTTTTTGAGACGAAGTCTCGCTCTCGTCCCCAGGCTGGAGTGCAATGGCATGATCTTGGCTCACTGCAACCTCTGCCTCCCAGATTCAAGCAATTCTCCTGCCTCAGCCTCCCAAGTAGCTGGGATTACAGGCGCCTGCCACCACGCCTGGCTAATTTTTGTATTTTTAGTAGAGACGGGGTTTCACCATGTTGGCCAGGCTGGTCTCAAACTCCTGACCTCAGGTGATCCATCCGCCTCGGCCTCCCAAAGTGTTGGGATTACAGGCGTGAGCCACCGCGCCTGGCCCGGCTGTACATACATTTTAAAGCACCCCAGGTGAGCAGAGTTAGGTGAGCATTGAGACTACTGGAGGGTAAGGTCTGACCCCTGGTGTCCTTTGTGGCAGCATGTCACCTGTTCCTTCTCACTGGTGTGTTTTCATGGTAGCCACCTCAGCCAGCATGCCACCACACGGGACCCTGAAGCATGTTGTGACAATGCCGACTGCCTGCCAGTTTCCCCAGGTGCCACATTTCGTCCCCTGAGCTGACAAGTGAAGCCCTGGTCAGGGAGTGGGGCTGATTCCTGGTCTGGGGGGCTGGGTCCTTGTGGCCTAGCCAGGTGGTGGCCTTTCTCTGGGACTAGCACCATCCAGTAGAACTTTCTGAGATGATGGAAATGCCCTAGGTCCGTGCTGTCCGAGACGGCAGCTGCTGGCTACATGAGGCTATCAGCTGAGCATGACTGAGGGACTGAATAGTTTTCAGTTGTATTTAATTCTAATAACTGTGAACGGCTAGCTGCTCATGGCTAGTGCCTGCTGCATTGGACAGCACAGCTCTGGCCACTCGGAGGAAGTCTGCTGCTTCCCTGGGTGTGGTTCTAGCGACAAGCTTGGAGGCTGCACTTCACCAGAACCCTAGGCCTGAGTGTTTGGCTCCTGTCCTCTCTCAGGAAGGCCAGCCCTTTGGTCAAGGTGACCCCTGATGCGTGCTTCCCTGGCTGCTGGGGGTTCTCAACCAGCCATGCTGTGCCGAAGCCCCGTGTTTATGACACTGAGGAGGCATCACCTGCCCATTCAGAGGAGAGATGAGCAGTCTTTGGGGGCCATCACCCTTTGAGGCCAGGACGGTACAGTCGCAGGAGACCTGACACGGTGCAGGCTAGACCCCGCTCCAGCATGGAACTGGGCCGCACAGCAGGAGGTGGGTGGCAGGTGAGTGAGCATTATCACCTGAGCTCCACCTCCTGTCAGATCAGCGGCAGCATTAGATTCTCATAGGAGCGCAGGCCCCATTATGAACTGAGCATGTGGGGAATCTAGGCTGCATGCTCCTTATGAGAATCTAGCTCATCCCTGATGATCTGAGGTGGAACAGTTTCATCCCCAAACCAGCCACCACTCCCTGCCACAGTGTCCATGGAAAAATTGTTTTCCATGAAACCGTGGTGCCAAAAAGGTTAGGGACCACTGGACTAGAGCCACCCCCTGGCCTCAAAGACCCTCTAACACCCTTGCCAGCCACCCCCTACCTTCCTGCTCCATAACCCTGCCCCTCCAGGGCTGTGCCAGCTTTGTCTCCGCAGGCTCCCCAGCCCCACTGCCCTCTGGGAGGTCCCTTGATGGACAGGGCCATGTAGTGTGCCTTGCAGGGGCAGGGGTGTGGCCCTGAGGAATGTCTGCCTCCTCCCACATCTGGTGGGCAACATCGGGACAGCCCAGCTCACAGGCCTGCCAGCCCCTCCACACCACACCCTGTCCCATCCTACCTGGTGCTCCACTGAAAGCCCTCAGCCTAGAGGATTGTGCACTGCTTTGGTGGGGATGCCCCAGAAGCAGGGAGCCTGCATGCCAGTGAGGACCTGGCTTCAGCCTGAGATTTGCAGCAGATGCTGTCAGGGGCCCATGCACAGCACCTCTGCCCTCACCTCCACACCTGGAGGCCAGGCCTTTGACTCCCTCCGGCTGCAGAGATGCACTAGGCCATGCACAGAGAGTGACAGCAGCCCCTCACCAATGAGGGCAGGGAATTGGATAAATACCCCAGCTCCCTTGCCCCTCTTTGGGGGCAGCTCGGAGCTGTGCTCTGCACAGTCACCCACAGCAGCCTGTGGGGGCTGGCTGAGCTGCAGCCATGGTGAGGACACACCCCAGAGTGCATCCTCCCTTCCCCTTCCCTCCCCACATCCCACTTTCCTCTCAGCGCCTCCTGGGTGCAGCTCCCAAGTGCAGCTCTGCACTTGCACCTGTCCAGGGCCTGCTTGGGGACTGCACATCTACACACTCATGCCCAGCAACCGCTGCAAACGCCCCAGCCTCAGAGGACCCAGGCCAAGAAGGCGGCCGCTAAGCAGGTTTCCCACCTCGCCTCACTGACTGCCGTTCCCACACACACACACACACACACTCACTCTCACAGACACACACACTCATTCTCACACACACACTCACACAGACTGACCCCACACACAGACTCATACTCACAGACTCACACATACGCACACTCACACAGACTCACACACTCAGACTCACACACACTCAGGCTCACCCACACACACAGACTCACATACACACTCACACACAGACACCCCCCACACACAGACTCACATACACACACACACACAGACTCACACACATGCTCAGACTCACACACATAGACACACACAGACACATACACACTCACACACTCATACACACAGACACACATAGATTCACATACACACACATACAGACACATAGACACATACACACAGACCCACACAAACTCACATACACATACACAGATTCACATACACAGACTCACACATTCACACACAGATTCACACACACACAGATTCACACTCACACACAGACACATACAGACACTCTTACAGACTCACACTCAGACCTGACCTCATACACACCCCCACACACAGGCAGGTGGCCATCTGGGTGTGGCTGGCCTCAGCTCTGTCCCTATCCTCTGCTGCGTGACCTGGGAGCTCCTCGCTTCCTTGGTCCAAGGCAGAGGCTGCCCCCACCAGCCCATAACGCACCTTGCTTCCCTTCCCAATTCAAAGCAGCTGGCGTGACCTACTACCACACCTGGCATGATTCAAAATCCGATGATGTCTGGAGAGGAGCCCCTGGGGAACACGGGTAGCCCTTTCCAAATCTGGGATTCCGGAGTCCTCCAAAAGCCGGTGGGCTCGGGCAAGACTGCTCGGCAGTGATCCCATAATGTGCCATGCTGCTCATCCATCCCTCTGAGGGCGGGGTACTGGGCTAGCTGGGAGGCTGCCTGCCGCCAAGTGTGGAATCACTCAAGGCCCGAGGCGGGAGGCTGCACACTGGACACTGAACACAGGCCACTGGGACCATGGCCATGGCATGGGAGACCAGCCTGTCTGTGAGCCAGAACACACCCGCTCACCCACCGCCTCCGTGCCCCATCTCTGACTCTGGAAGATCAGCCATCCAGAGGGCCTTTGCCCTGGCCCAGAAATACTGCCAGCCCTGCTCACGACCTGTCCCTTGCCCGCACCAAGAAGTCCCTGGGCCCTGAAGGGCAGGCTTCCCCACTGACTTGCCCACTAGTCTAGTACAGGGTGCAGCTCTCTACACCAGTGCTGGCTAAAGGGGGTCTTGGTGGCCTCCGCCCCTGCAGCCCTGGCTGTTCTGAGGACTCTGGGATGCCTTCGCTGGGCCTAAGCCCACAGTCCTGCAGCCACAGCCTGGGCCAGGCCCCAGCTCAGCCCCTTCCTGTCAGGTGCACTTGGGTGAGTCACCTCCAGCCCAGGCTCAACCCTGAGGAGTGCGGGGCAGGGGAAGCCTGGGCCGGGACAGGCAGCAGGGCCACAGCAGGAGGCTGCAGAATGGTGCCTGTGGCCTCTAAGTGTCTGCTACATTCTATGCATAACCTCACTTCATTTTTTTTCTACCTGATGGAGAACGTATTATGCTCACCCCCATAATTCAAGTGAGGAAACTGAGGCTCCGGAAAGTTAACTGATTTGCCTGCATTCACACAGTGAGTCGGGGAAGAGGTTCAGGATGGGTGGCCTGTGCTCCTCCTGCTGGGCCATGCAGCCTCAAACAGTCCTGAACCGGGGAAGCAGCATTACCACAGGAATTGAGGGATCAAGGGAGACAGGAGCGCCCCTCAGCCCCACCCCATACCCTCCCACCTGACCCCTAGGTCATGGAGATGACCCTGTAAGCTGACTGCTGAATCTGCCCCACAGGGACAGGGCTGCTGCAGAGTCCAGGGCTGCCCTCTGCCATCATGACCCTGTCCCAGGCTCTTCTCCGCCACCCTGTTGCTGCTTCCCAAGTCCCTAACCGACTTGGGGACTGTCCTTTCCAGCCACACAGGCTGCTAGCACTCACCAGGCAGCTACCTTGAATTCTGGCAGTGACGATGATCAGGTGTGATCAGAGAGTCCTGGAACTGCTCCTATCCAGCAAGATGCTGGTGTGAGAGCCGCTGTGGCCCCCGAGGCTGGCAGGGCCCTGGCTACAGCCCTCTCTGGAAAGACCCAGTCCCAGGCTATGCCCAGAGCTTCCAGCCAGAAAGGACAAGCTGCAGGACCCTGTGGGCTGGCTTATGTGACGCCAGGCAGACTGAAGCTGGCCATGGTCCCAGCTGCCACATTACCACAGGAACAGCAGCCCCAGGGTCCCCGGACAGGCAGTGCCAACAAGCTCACTGCAAGGTCAGAAGCCCTTGAGGTCACAATTGGTGACATCACAGCTGCTGACCCATGAGGCTCAGACTCCAGCCTGAAGCCCCTCTGGCCCAGGGAGTGACTGCAAAGTCAGCAGCACATGGGCCAGGGCTGGCCAGCCTCTCAGCTCCACGCACCCAGACAGAAGCATCCACATCTGCACTCTTCATAGCAGAGACCTCTCCCTGTTCAGGTTCTGCATACAGAAGAGACGCCCAGAAATAGGTACAGACACTGAGGCTGCAGAAAAGCTGTTTCTGTGGAGGAGTGGACACCAGGTTGCAGGGGGTTGAGGAAGGAGAAGGCAGTGAAGGAGCTGAACTGGAAGTGGTTCAGCCGTTCACCTGTGCCACTGTCTACTGTACCCTACGACTTTTCACTTATTAGTGCTGTTCACCTGTGCCACTGTCTGCTATACCCTACGGCTTTTTACTTATTAGTGCTAACAGGGTTTTTATGGATTATTTAGGGTTTTCTATATGCCATCTGTGAACGGAGGTAACTTCACTTCTTCCTTTCCAATTCGAATGCTTTATATTTCCTTTTCTTGCTTAGTTGCTCTGGCTAGAACTTCCAGTACTGTGTTAAATAGAACTGGGGAAGGTGGGCATCCTTGTCTCCTTCTTGATCTTAGAGAAAAAGTTTCCAGTTTTTCACTATACAGTATGGTGTTGGCTGTGGGATTTTTGGATATATTGCCTTTATCATGTTAAGGAGTTGAGTGTTTTTATCATGAAAGAGTGTTCAATTTTGTCAAGCGTGTTTTCCACATCAATTGAAATGATCATGTCTTTTCCTCCTCATTCTAATAATGTAGTGTAGTACATTGATATTTTCATTATGAAAAAATAATCCTTACATTCTAGGGATAAATATTACTTGTTAATAGTGTGTAACACTTTTAATATGCTGATGAATTTCATTTACTAATATTTCATTGAGGATTTTTGCATGTGTATTCATAAGGGATATTGGCCCCTAGTTTTCCTTTCTTGTAGGGTCTTTGTCTGACTTTGGTATTAGGGCAATGCTGGCCTCACAGAATGAGTTAGGAAATGGTCCCACCTCTTCAACTTTTAGAAAAACTTTGAAAAACATTTATGTATGTTCTTTAGTAAGTGTTTGTTAGAATTCACGAGTGATATCATGTGGCCCAGGGCTTTTCTTCGTTACTGATTCAATCTCTTTACTAGTTATGAGTCTATTCATATTTTCTATTTCTCCCTGATTCAGTCTTGTTGGTTTTTTTTTTTTTTGTTTCTAGAAATTTGTCCATTTTATCTAGGTTATCCAATTTGTTGGCGTGACATTTTTTGGCGTATTCTTTCATAATCCTTTTTATTTCTGTATGGTCAGTAGTAATACCTCCCACTTTCCTTTCTTATTTTACTAATTTGAGTCTTTTTCTTTCCTTAGTCAATCTAGCTAAAGCTTTGTTAATTTTGATCACTTCAAAAATCGCCTTTTGGTTTTGTTGATTTTCTCCATTGTTTTTCCATTCTCGACTTGATTTATCTTTAACCTTCATTATTTCCTTACTTCTGCTAGCTCTGGATTTAGTCTGCTCTTCGTTTTCTAATTCCTTAAATTGTGTAGTTAGATCATTAATTTGGGATCCTTCTTATTTTTAAGATGTAGACATTAATAGCTACAAGTTTCCCTCTTAGCACTGCTTTCTCTGCATACCATAACATTTGGTATGTTGAGTTTTTCTTTTAATTCATATCAAGGCATTTTCTTTTTTCTTTCTCTTTCCTTCTTTTCTTTTTTTTTTTTTTTTTTGAGACAGTTTCACTCTGTTGCACAGGATGGAGTGCAGTAGCGCAATCTCGGCTCACTGCAACCTCTGTTTCTTGAGTTCAAGTGATTCTCATGCCTCAGCCTCTCGAGTAGCTGGAAATACAGGCAGGTGCCACCACGCCTGGCTAATTTTTGCATTTTTGGTAAAGACTTGGTTTTACCATGCTGGCCAGGCTGGTCTCAAACTCCTGGCATCAAATGATCAACCCATCTCAACCTCCCAAAGTGCTGGGATTACACGAGTGAGCCACCGTGCCTGGCCTAATTCATATCAAGGCATTTTCTAAATTCCCTTGTGGATTTATTCTTTGACCTACTGGTTGCATAAAGTGTGTTATTTAATAGGCAAATACTGTAATTTTTCCAGTTTTCCTTCTGTCATGGATTTCTAGTCATTCCGTTGTGATAAAAAATATACTTTGTATGATTTGAATCTTCTTAGGCTTATTAAGATTTATTTTATGGCCTAATATGTCCTGGAGAACATCCTATGTACATTTAAGAAGAATGTATATTTTGCTATTGTTGGGTTTAGTTTTCTATATAATCTGTTAGGTCTAATTGGTTTAGAGTGTTGTTCAAGTGCTCTATTTCTTTTTCTTTTTTGAGACAGAGTCTCACTCTGTCACCCAGGTTGGAGTGCAGTGGCATGATCTCAGCTCACTGCAACCTCCATCTCCCAAGTTCAAGCAATTCTCCTGCCTCAGCTTCCAAGTAGCTGGGAATACAGTCGTCCACCACCACGCCCAGCTAATTTTTGTATTTTTAGTAGAGACAGGGTTTCACTGTGTTGGCCAAGCTGGTCTCAAACTTCTGACCTCAGGTGATCCACCTGCCTCAGCCTCCCAAAGTGCTGGGATTACAGGCGTGAGCCACTGCACTCAGCCTCTATTTCTTTATTGATCTTCTTCTGTTTGGTTCTATCGATTATTGAAATTTGGGTATTAAAATCTCCATCTATTACTGTAGAACTATTTCTTCCTTCAATTTTATCAATTTTTGCTTCATATTTTTGGGGGTTCTGTTGTTAGGTGCATATATGTTTATGATAGCTATATATTTTGATGGATCAACCCTTTTATCAATGTTTAATGTTCTTTGTCTCTTGTAACCTTTTTGACTTAAAGTCTATTTTGTCTGACAATAACATATCAATGCAAGCTCTCTTTTGGTTACTGCTTTAATGGAATATCTTCTTCCACCCTTTTACTTGCAATCTATATGAGTTTTGAATCTAAAGTGATTCTTTATAGACAGCACATATATGGGTCTTTTATATATTCTGCTAATCTTTGCCTACTAATTGGATAATTTAATCCACTTTCACTTAAAGTAATTACTGAGAAGAAAGAACTTACTTCTGCCATTTAGTATTTCTTTTCCTTATGTCTCATGTGTTTTTTGGTCCTCAATTTCACAATTACTGCCTAAGCTGTAAAGTTACTTGATTTTTGTAGCGTACTACTTTGAGTCTTTTCTTCAGTCTTTTTCAGTATAGTTTTTAGTTACTATCTTAGTGGTTTAACTTGGAGGTTACAATCAACACCTTACACTTATAACCTCCTAGTATGAATAGCAACTTAGTTAAAATTATATATAAACACTCTACTCCTGTATCTCTTCATTACTCCACTTTATATTGATTGTCACAAATTACATCTTTATACATTGTGCACCCATTAACATAAATTTGTAATTATTCCTTTATGCACTTAACTTTTAATTCCTAAGGTAAAAAAGGAATTATATACTAAAATTACAGTCATACTGACTTTTATATTTAGCTATGTAACTACCATTACCAGTGTTCTTATTTTGTATTATAGTTTCAAGTTTCTGTCTAGCATATTTTCATTTCTGCTAAAACCCTCCCTTTTCCCTTTAGCATTTCTAATAGGGAAAGTCTACTGATAACAACCCCCCTTTTTTGCTTTTGTTATTTGGAAATGTCTGAAGTTTTCCTTCATTCTTAAAGTATCATTTTGCTAAAAATAGAAATCTTGGTTGACACCTTATTTTTCTTTCAGGACTTTAAACATGGCATCCCTTTCCTGTGTAGCCTTCATGGTTTCTGATGAAAAATGAGCTGCTAATCTTATTGAGAATCCCTTGTACGTGATGAGTAGCTCCTCTCTTGCTGCTTTCAAGATTCTCCATTTGTCTTTGAGTATTGACAGTTTGACTATAATGTGTGTTGGCATGAACTGAGCTTTTTGAATGTGTATTATTATGTCTTTCATCAGATTTGGGAAGTTTTCAGCCGTTGTTTCTTCAAATATTCTTTTATGTCCCTTTCTTTCCCTCTCTTCTCCTTCTGGGACTCTAATGCTGTGTATGTTATGCTTGATGGTGTCCCACAGGTATCTCAGCCTCTATTCACATTTTTCATATTTTTTCTTTATATTATTCAAACAATAATTTTTATTGCCTTATCTTCAAGTTATGGGTTGAACTGTGTCCCTCTGAAATTTATATGTTGAAATTCTAAACCCCAGCACCTCACCATATCACTTTTTTGGATATAAGATCATTGCAAATTAGTTAAGATGAGGTCACACTGGAGTAGGAATGGTCCCCTAATATAATATGACTCGTGTCCTTGTAAGAAGGGAAAATTTTGGATGTAGACACAAACTTAGGGAGAATGCTGTTTAAAGATAAAGACAGAGAACTGCAAGCCACAGAATGCCAAATAATGCTAGCAAACCACCAGAAGGTAAGAGAGAAGGATGGAACAGGTTCTGTCTCACAGCTCTCAGAGGGAACCAACCCTGCCATTTTGGACATATAGCCTCCAGAACTGTGAACCAATAAATTTCTGCTGTTTAAGCTACTGAATGTGTTTGTGTTCATTATGGCAGTCCTAGCAAACTAATTCTATGCTTTGTTTTTGGTTTTGTCTTACTGAGAACTGTACATTCTGAGTACTGTAATGTGGAAACTCTGGAAACCACATATTCCCACTCCTCAGGAATTATTTTTGTTTATTGAGGGTTGGAGCCACCTATTTGTGACTTCTTGAAAATTTTATAAAGTGTGTATTCATTGTGGAGTGTGGTTGCTGGAGTTTGTTCTCTGTGGTCAGCCAGTGACTTGACAAAGATTTCCTTAAATGTCTGGCTCCCAAAAAGGGCAAAATAAAAATAAAATATCTCTTCTTAAAAATTACTATTTCTCTAATTACCCTTGTGGCAGAGAAGCTGTTTCAGATTGTGGGAGTTGAAAGAATGACCAGCCTCTGAGCCATCCCCCCAGCAACCAAATGCAGCCATCAGCAGTCAAACACACATCCTGGTTTGTGAAGGACAAGGTCCTTATTGCCCACTCTGGCACCAGCAGGTCACACCATGAACATAAGCTGTCATCCCATGGCTGCCTGCCACACTGCTAGGGAATGGAGGATATTAGGCACTATTAGAAACATGGAAATTCACCAGCTTCTTCATCAGGTTCTTCCATGGATGATGCAAGTTTTCAACTAGACTCCAGAGTTCCAAAATAGCTGCTTTGGAAACTTCCTGACAGCTCAATTGTTATCTCAGTGGAGGGATGGATTCCTGGCATGTCCTATGCCATCATTTCCCATAATGTCATTTCTGTTCATTCATTTTTATTGCTGAGTAAATTTCTTGGTATGAACGTGCCATAGTTTGGTTAACTATTCACCTGTTAAAGGACATTTTGGTTGTTTCCAGGTTGAGGCTGTTATAAGTAAGGCTGCCACAAACATTCAGATACACACAGAAATGAACATAAGCCTTCATTTCTCTGGGATAAATGCCCACCCATTGGATTTTTAGTTTCTACCATCAAAATTGACATTTTTTCCCATCGAAGTACTAACCAGGCCTGACCCTGCTTAGCTTCTGAGATCAGATGAGGTCAGGTGTGTTCAGGGTGGTATGGCCATAGAGAAAATTCACATTTCTAATATTTCTAATAGTTATCTTTTGGGTCTCTGAATGCTACTTTTGATAATATATTCTATGTTCAGGTCATGATTGTAATACATTCTCTCTGAGGATTTCTGTAATACTCCCTGTTTCTCTCAAGTCTGATGATCTTTCTCTACTCATATTAAATGTTGGAGATTAAAAAGATGTTTGGATTTGGGGGACATGGAACTGTCCTTTATCTTTATTCTAATGGTAGTTTTACAATTGTGTTTTCTGGACTCAGAACTGTACACCTAAAAACTGAATTTGATTATAAGTAAATTATGTCTTAATTTTTAAAAATTAAAAAGAAAAACAGCATTTGAAGGCTCTAAGCATGCGTTCATGGCTTACTGAATTTGAGCTTCCTTGTCAGATAATCTAACTGGGTAAGTTTACTTAAGGACGTTTACTCAGTATCTTTAAGTCTTCCCTTAGGGGCCTATAAGACTACCAATCTCTGGCTAGAGCAAGGGTGAAGGGCTCATTGCCAGAGTTGTGGAAGGTGAGTGAGAGAAGAGGTCTGAGGATTCAGGAAGTATTTGTTCATCTCAATATTGTGCTAGTGTAGCATCCATGTCTCTATTTGTGCCTAGTGCCTTGTAGTCAAGAGATCCTTGGTTTTAACCCTCTCCAGCAAATAACCTTCTGGACAGTACAGAAAATGCCCTGAAAGGTGGTGGGAGGTGGGAATCCCATTGTCTCATAAGTAAACTTTCAAAGAATCTACTTTATCTCAGCTGGCCACCACACCCCAACCTGTTCACTTCCTTTTCCAGAGGCACATGGTGCCAGCACTTTGAGATTTTGATTACTTTGATATAAAGTCAGAATGGGTTCTTGACTTTCCCCCATACCATCTCAGAATTTTATTTCTTTTATATGCTGGGTTATTTTCCACTCATCTACTGCTTTTCTTTCCAAAATTTCACTGCTTGACTGTTTGTCTCTTCTCCTATGCTGAAAGAAATTAAAGAATACCTAAGTAAATGGAAAGACAACCTGTGTTTATGGATTGGAAGATTTAATATTAAGATGGAAATACTACCTAAAATGTTCCACCAGTTCAATGTCATCCCTATCAGAACAGATTCAGTGCAATACTTATCAAAATCCCATTCATTTTGTGCAGATATGGAAAAGCTGATCCTCAAATTCGTATGGAAAGGCAAGAGACCCTGAATGGGCAAAACAATCTAGAAAAAGTAAGACAAAGTTGGAAAACCCACACTTCTTAATTAGAAAACAGGCTACAAATCTACACTAATCAAAACATTGTGATACTAGCATGAGGATAGACATAGATCAATAGGGTAGAATTGAGTTTCCAGAAATAAACCCATAAATCTATCATTAATTGTCTTTTTACTAGGGTACCAGGACCATTCAACGGGGAAAGAATTGTCTCTTTAACAGATGGCACTAGGACAACTGAATATCTGCATGTAAAAATATTAAATTGGACCCTTACATTGTACTACACACAAACATTAGCTAAAAACAGATCTAAAGTCTGAATATAACACTCTTAAAAGGAGTCTTCCAAACTATAAAAGTCTTAGAAGGAAGTATAGGTTTAAATCTCCATATCCTTTCATTGGACAAGGGTTTCTTAAATATAACATCAATAGTGCAAGCAACAAAATAATAAATAGATTAACTAGACCTTGTCAAAACTAAAACCTTTCATGCTTCAAAGGATATTATCGAGAAAGCCAAAGACAACCCATATAATGGGAGAAAATACTTGCAAATATGATAATGGTTTAACATTCCAGATTATATAAAGAACTCTTACAAATCAACAACAACAACAAAACACCAATTTAAAAAGGTGCAAAGTACTAAAATAGACATTTTACCCAGGTAGATATACAAATGGCCAACAAGCAAATGAAAACATGCTCAACATTGTTAGGCATCAGCAAAATGCAAATAAACCACAGGGAAATACTACTCCACATCCATTAGGATGGCTATTAGCCGAAAAAAAGGAAAAACCAAGTGTTGACGAGGAGGTGGAGAAATCAGAACCCTCTCACATTGCTGGAGGGAATGGAAAATGGTACAGTGGCTGTGGAAAACAGCCCGCCAGGGCCTCAGAAAGTTAAACATAGGATTACCAGAAGACCCAGTGATTCCACTCCTAGGTATATTTACCAAATGATTGAAACAAGGACTCAGGCAGATTCTTGTACACTAGTATTCATTGCGGAATTATTTATAATAGCTAAAAGGCAGAAACAACTCAAGTATCCATCAACAGATGAATGTATAAACAAAATGTGTTATAGCCATACAATGGAATATTATTTAGCATGAAAATGAATGAAGTACTAGTTTATGCTACAACAGGATAAACTTCAACAACATTAAACTAAGTGAAATAAGCCAGGCACAAATGGTCATATATTATTCCAATTTTGTGAAATATCTAGAATAGACAAATTCATAGAGACAAAGTAGAATAGAGTTTGTCAGGAGCTGGGGAGGTGGGAAATTGGGAGTTACTGTTTAATGGGTATGGGGTGTCCCTTTGAGATGATGGAAATATTTTGACAAGAGGTGGTGGTGGCACAATATTGTGAATGTACTAAATGCCATTGAATTGCACTCTTTAAAATGATTAATTCATGTGAATTTATCTCAATAAACACAACTCCACCCACCGCCCCCTACACACAGATGAGCCTAGAACATCTTGTTTGCCAGAAAGCAAGTCAGTGATCAAAGAGTGATGAGGACACTTCAAAATGACCCAGAACCAGCTTGAATTGGTCAAATCAGGGACAATCTGTATTTTATTAACTCAGCAACAAAAAGAAACAAACTACTGATGTCCACAACAATGTAGATTGGTCTCAAATGCATTCTGCTAAATGAACAAAATGAGCCACTATAGACTACATACCATGTGATTCTACTTGCAAAACTATAGTGACAGAAACAGACCAGTGGTTGGCAGGGGTCAGTACTGAAGGGGAGTGGACTGATTTCAAATAGGCACTAGGGAACATTTTTGGGGTTATAGAATTATTCTATATAACCATCATGGTGGCTACCTCAATAAAGTGGATAGGAAATAGAACTATCTGCCCATGTTTGAAAGAGACTTCACATTTCTCCACTATTCAGGGAACCCAGCTGCCATGGCCCGCATGACCCAGGTGGTCACAGGGGGCCAGGTGAGTGGAGACTGCCCCTTGACAAGGCCCATGTGCTCTTTGGACACCTGGGCTGCTTCACTCATTTGTGTCAGCGCTGGACTCCAAGGGTGTATGAGCAGAAAGAAATTGTGCCTGACTCCTAAACGGCTTACAGGACAGAGAAGGGGGGGAAGTGATACTGGGGTTAAGGGTTGTGTCCTGGGAGCCTGATCTGGAGGCAGCCTGCAAGCATCTGCAGGAATAGCACCCTGTTCTCTCTCTGGAAGCCTCTGTGGCCAGTGCAGGAATCCCAGCCCCTCCCAGCCACAGGATGGGCTCTGCTTTCCCTGGTGCCATCGTGTGCTGGCAAAAGGGAACAGCAGAGGTGGATGCACGGGCTCCAGGCTTGGCAGGAAGACTGGCTGACCCCGCTCTGGGACTGCAGCCCTTGAGATTTTGAATATCAGAGGGAGGGGGTGGCCCAGCAGGCCTGCGCTCTCTGATGAGGCATGCGTGTGGTGCAGTGATGAAACGAGTGGGCAAGGGCTGAAACCACCTCTCCCCTCAGATTTTCTGGAGCATCATTCCCGGCACAGGTGCAAAGAGGCTCAGGATGCTTATGACTCCAGTGTAGATTGTGTCCTTCATAAAACAGAACAAACCCTCTCCGTCCTGTTCAATGTTTCTTATTTTACATTCTTTTTTTCACATTACAACTGTGACCCAGGATTTTGCCTGGGTAATGGTGTTTGCTTTGGGGACAGCAAGAGGTCATTCTTCCATCCCCTCCTTTCACCACATACAAGGCTGCTGGGGAGGAGGGGTCAGGGACATCAGATCATGGGGCTTTGAATTCTGCCCTAAGTCCAACCTGGGGCCTGTGAGTCCACTAAAGAGAAAACTCAAATTGCATATTTTTAAATACAGAGACCAGATTCAAGTTTGAGAGTAGACAGCTGTGTGTGCAGTGGGGGACTTAGTGGGGACCACAGAGGCGGCAGGGGGGACCAATGAGTGAGCCCCTCCCAGACTAGAGCGTGGCTCATGGCTGTAGGAGCAGGGACATTTGATATTGTTGACAGCTTTTGTGTGTGAAGTCCTTTTGTGACCTGAAAGGCACCAGCCCTGTGCCAGAGCCTGTGGTGGGAGCTGTGTCCCCTGGAGGCAGAGGGTGGTCCTGAGTCCTGGCCTCATCTCCATGGAGGGAATGTGAGCAGGGCACCAGCTCTGGGGTCAGGCAGCTGTCCAAGAAGATGTGAGTCCAACCCCTTTCCCCAAACACCAGAGGAAGGGGCCTTGACAGGGCTGGGAGAGGCCCAGGCTTGTTCCTCCAGGGCAGCAGCTCTCCAGTGCAGGCAGCCAGGCTGCCTTTGCACTTGGCTGGGCCGTCCTTGGTATGCTGGTGGTGATCCAAGGGGTTACAAGAAAACAGAGCCCCAGGTTCCCACAGGTGCATTCAAGGTGCTGCAGGAAGAAATTCAGACTGCTTGACTGTGAGGCTAGTCTGTCTTCCAAATGCCTGGGGTTGGAAATGCCCTTTAAATTGGCACACGGAGATGGCATGTTGGTCAGCACTCACCTGCTGCAACAAAGACACCTCCAATGCAGTGGCCCCGAAACACAGAAGCTGGCACCTCCCTCTCCTAACCCTCTAAAGATGAGCAGCCCACGTTGGTGGGACTGTGCCCAGTGAGGTCACTCAGTAGCCCTGGTCCTTCCTTGTGGTTCGCCTCTCCCTGAGGTGCATGGCGGCAGCTGGCTCCTTTCACACCTGTACTCCCGCCTGTGGGCTGGAAGAGGAGAGGAACTGGAGGGCAGAAAACTTCACATATAAGGACTTGAAGTGGAAGCTGCAACATCATGTCCCAAACCTAGTCACATGGTTGGCAGCCATGCCAGCTGCAAAGGGACATTGGACATATGGTCTCTAGCTGGCATTGTATGCCCAGCCGAGACTTTCCTCCTAAAAGGAAGAAGCAGGGACTGGCTTCAGCAGGAACTGGCAGGAAGCTCTTCTAAAGTGATGAGAGGCCTGTTCTCTAAGCAGATTGGTCTTTAGTTTCCCAACAGACTGGTGGCTCGAGGGTCCTCGCCAATGCTGGTGCTATGTGTCCAGCAGAGCAGAGCATGCCCTGACACAGAGCAGAAGCTGGTTCCGGACAGGCCCTTACTGCCCTGGGTCCTGCAGCCAGGCTAGTTGGGGGACCATGCCCTGAAGCACACAAGCTGGGTGCTCCCGCCTGTCTGCACCCTCTGGCAGGGTGGGCATGGGCCCTGAGCCCTGCTCTGCTCCTGCAGCTTGTGCCCTGCCTAGTCCCATCACATGTGGATACCAGGTCCAGGCACCTCCCTTCTCAGTGCCCAACCCCACCGCCACCCCGTGACCACCCAGGAGGCCACCATGGTTGTGCCCTGCCAGGCCCTTCCTCAGCAAACTGAGAAAATAGCTCCTCCTGGGGTGAGGGGAGCTGGAAGGTTTACCTCACCGCCCAACTGGCCGGGGTGTGAGCCAGGCAGGAATTTGGACAGTCTTGACACATGAAGCAGAACAGCCCATCCTGGCCTGCAGAGGGCACCGGGGGTGGCCAGAGAGCAGGAGAGCAGCCTGCAGTGCTGGGCTCTTGGTTTGGCTCTCATAGACCTGTGTGTGGCCTACATGGGCTGTTGGACACCGTCAGACAAGGACTGGAGGGACATGTGGCTGGGGTGGAGGACAAGGGTCGGAAGGGAGGGCAAGGGAGGAATAGAAGCCAGACACACACCCTCACTGCCTCCCCTCACACAGCACAGGGCCTCCTGGAAGGGGCTGGGCTGGCAGAAGCGGTCGGGGAAACCATCCACAGCCAAGGCCTGGGTCTTGAAAGCAGTCTGGAGAGATGGCGGCAGACTCATTTCATGGGCTCAGAGGCCAGGGAGGCTCCTTGGCAGCTCATAGGCCCTGTCAACTGGGGCTACTAGAAGGACGAACTGTGTTCAGGGCCCTGCTTGGTGGCTGACAGCACACTGGGCCCTGGAGCCGCCTCACCTTTCCGTCCCTTCAATGTTCGTGAGTCTCCCATACGCGCTACTCTCTGCTGGTCCATCACTGTGTGTCGTCGCATTATTTCATGCGGTTTAAAGAGTCAAGCAGTTCACATATAAGGAGCTCATGGCTGTCAGCTGCAGGGCTCCTGGAGGCAGCTGCTCAAGCGAGAGGGTTGGTAACAGGGCCTCCCTGGCTTTCCTAACTGGACAACAGCAGCCATTGCCACTCTGTGGCTCTCACTGAATCACTTGACACGAGCAGAGCAGCAGCGCCCAGAGCCGCAAAGCCTTCCTGAAATAACCCTCCACGAGCAGGGGGCTCTTCCCCCATGGTCCCATTGTCAGGTCCGGCAGGAGGCAACAGGTGGCCCACTCCTGAGGGTGAACTCACCAGGAGAGTTGCAGGAGATGTTAGCACCCCATGTCAGCGGGGAGGAGCTGCCTGAGGGCTGCGGCCTGGGTGGAGGTCACAGCCTCTGCCCACCTGGGGTGGCTGTGGGGCTCCCACCCCATTTGGTCTCCTGCTGGTGCCTCCCATGGGTTGGACCTGAGTGGAGGTCAAGGCTGGAGTCCTGCTGACAAGTCCTGGAGGTCATCTCCAGGGACACAAAGCAGGTGGAGGAGGGCTGGTGGTGGGGGCGGTGGGGGGTGTCTGCAGGAGCAAACAGAACCTCCAGCACACTGCTTTGCTTCAGGAATGACTTTTCTGACTCAAGCTCAGCATAGTGAGTGGCATGCTGTCCCCTGCCCCACCACGCACTGCGGCAGGTGCTCCCCGCTGCTCACCAAAACCAAAGGCCATACCCTCTGTGCCTACTGTCTCAGGCCATGCCTGCCAACAATCCCCTGCTAGCTGGCCAATGGTGACATTCCCATCCTTCACAGGGGAGCATTATTCTCAAACAGGGATGTATGAGTCTATCGAACTCAGCACTTGTATTTCATTGTTTGTATCTGGTGCATTATTTTATACAAGTAATATGTGCATGTGGTCTAAAGAGACAAGAAGCCCTAAAAGGCTCACACGAAATACCTCTGCTCTCTGAACAGCCTTTTCCTTCTGCCAGGTCCCTTTCCCAGCAGCAGTGGTGTTTGTCTGGTTTGGTGTTTCTTATTGCTAAGCCATTGGGTGTAGCTGCTTTGGCTTCTTCCATGTGAGAGATCATCCGCTGATACCTGTTGTGGGAGATGAGGACTCAGCTGTTAAAAACCGGCCTCCATGCCCTATCTCATCCCCTAAAGCAATTACAGGAGAACTTCTGGATAAATCAGCATTCATCACTTACATTTCATGCCTGGGCAAACATCATCCTTTCTCATGGCTGGCTCTGCCTTACCCTCCACTTTCCCAGGGCCAGGATAGGTTTCTTGACCTTTCCCCTCTGGCTGCCCAGGCTCTCCAGAAAGACATTTTGCCTTCTCCTGGGTGGAGGGTACAGATCTGGCTTGCAGTGCCCTGGAGATCTTCAGTAGTCTCTTAATCTCTTCCAGGGGACTGGGAAACCCCTGTCCAAAAACCTTGTCTCCATGTTCCAGAGAGGACGCCTCTGCAGTGGTGTGGGAGCAGCAGCAAGCCAGCCCCACACTCAATCGTGCCCTCACAGGCTCCAGTGGCATCTGCTGCTCAGCTTTCAGCTCCGGCTGCCCAAGTCTCCTCTCGCTCAGGTCCCTCATCCAGCTCTGGCTTCCAGAGGTCAGCTGCTGCAGTCTCCTATCCTCCTATTCTTCCGGGTCTAGGCTTTCATGAAACATCCCGCTGCAATCTGAGAGGACCTTCGGTAGACAGTATTATTACATTTGTTTTCAATCCACCCTCTTAACCCAGAGGTCCACTTTATCTTATATATCTTTTCTTCTGTGCCATTATTATTATAATTCCTTTCTGTTTAAGGCAGTAAGATTGGTTTCCTTTTACGGTAGTTGTAAACCAAAAGTATCTCAGACAGGTCCCAATCAATTTTTGCCAAGGTTAAGGACACATCCCGGGAGACAGGTCTGTGCCTTTCTCCAAAGATGGTTTTAACAGCTTCAATATTTAAAGGGGAAAAGCCTGCTGGAGGGGACAGAGGGAGGGTATGGTCTCATTACTGAATCCACATGTTGCAAGAGAAAAGGAGCAGGTAGGGGAATGGTCAATTATGTGTTCATCCTGTGCTCACTATAAGATAAGGTGAACATGGAGTGAAGCTCTTTAACTTTTATCTGTTACTGTCTGCTCAGGAACAAAAGGAAAGGCTGCTTCTTGCACGACTCGGCTTTCAGCTTAATTTTTTCCTTTAGGCAGAGTGAATTGGGGTCCCAGTTTTATTTTCCTTTGTAAACCAAAAATAAAATTCTAAGGCTCCCCAACCATTTGAATAAACCCCTCCTCTCCACCAGGGCATTCCAAAGTTAACCAGAAAAACTGTTTTAGGACATGATGGGAAGGGAGCGTTGAACATGCTTCATCATACCATCTTCCTGTTAGCAGCGGTGGCGAATCAGTACAGGTCTGCAGCAACCTCAGTTCTTGCCTCCTCAGAGGAAAGAATTCAGCCGAGGGGCATAAGGCAAAGGGAGAGACAGAGGGCAGTTTGGAGCAGGAGTGAAAGTTCACTAAAAGGTTTATATACTTTTTATAAAGGTTTAGAGCAGGAATGACAGGAAGTAAAGTATACTTGGAAGAGGACAAGTGGGTGTCTTGAGAGATCAAGTGCACGGTTTGACCACTGACTTGGGGCTTACATGTTGGCAGGCTCCCGGAGGGTTGCATCCCTTCTCTGATTCTTCCCTTGGGACGGGCTGTCTGCATGAGCAGTGGCCTGCCAGAACTTGGGAGGGGCCACGGGTGTGGTGTGTTTACTGAAACCGTGCGCATGCTCGCTTGAGGCGTTCTTCCGTCCCAGTCAAGTGTTTTAAACTCCACCGTTTTGCCTCTTAGTGCACATGCTTGAACCCACTCGCCCAACTCCAGAGACCTTATCGGGAAGCTGCTGCTCACCAGCTTCAGATTGTATCTATCTATTGGGAGACTGCCTTTTCCTGGCGCTGGCTGCGACCAATTATTATTTTTAGAGAGACAGTTTCACAACTGCCTGACCATCACCTGATGGTGGCCTGACATTCCCGGTGGGGAGGCCCTTTCCTGCCATGCTCATGTCTGACTAGCTACCTATACTATAACACTCCTTTTTGGATTTCAGGAAAAGCTGACCAGCATTAACATCAACACAGACCTTAAGTGTGATAAGAAACATTTATATTCTATTCTCTCTGAAGCCTGCTACCTGGAGGCTTCATCTGCATGTTAAAATTTCGGTCTTCACAGCCCCTTATCATCGTAACCCAGATACTCCTTTCTATTGATCCCAGGTCTTTAGATAATAACTTAACTCTTTCAAACAACTACTAATTAGAAAAATTTTAAATCTACCTATAACCTGGAAGCCACTCTGTATATCTTACATGTTTTCGATTGATGTCTCCTGTCTCTCTAAAATGTATAAAACCAGGCTGTGTCCTGACCACCTGGGGCACATGTTCTCAGGATCTCTTTGGCCACTGGTCACCCATATTTGGCTCAGAATAATCTCTTCAAATATTTTACAGTTTGACTCTTTTCATTGACACCTTTCACATAGCAATATTGTTTCCTTTTAAAATACATATATTTAAGTACATATTCATAAAATGTGAGTTGATTTATAAAAATATTACTAGGTAGGGCAGGCGCAGTGGCTCACACCTGTAATCCCAACACTTTGGGAGGCCGAGGCTGGCAGATCACCTGAGGTCGGGAGTTCAAGACCAGCCTGACCAACATGGAGAAACCCCATCTCTACTAAAAATACAAAATCAGCTGGGCGTGGTGGTGCATGCCTGTAATCCCAGCTACTTGGGAGGCTGAGGCAGGAGAATTTCTTGAACTTGGGAGGCGGAGGTTACGGTGAGCTGAGATCGCACCATTTTACTCCAGCCTGGGCAACAAGAGCGAAATTCCATGTCAAAAAAAAAAAAAAAATTACTAGGTAAACAGTATAGGTGAAAAGTGACTGGTAGAAATCAGGAGTGATGGAAGTTTGGGAAACACAGCACTTAAGGAATTTTAAGGTTCCTTAGATATTTCTGAAATTTAATGATTTTGTAACTATTAGGAAAGTAAAGAAAGATACCTAAATCTCCAAATTTGTTTGATCTGAAATACCCAAATGATCATCTTAGTAGACTGAGAAAAGCTTTTGACAAAATCCAACACTCTTTAAATGATAAAAACTCTCAATAAACTAGGAATAGAAAGGAACATCCTCAACTCAACAAAGGGTGGCTGTGAAAATTCCACAGGGAATAGAACATTCAGTGATGAAAGACTGAATGCCTCCCCTGGGATCGGGAGGAAGGCACGGGGGTCTCTTCTGGCCACTTCCACTCAACATTACACTGGAGGTTCTAGGTCGTGCAACCAGGAAGAAAGAAACAATCCTGTCCAGATTGGAAAGGAAGGAGTACAATTATCTTTATTTGCAGGTGACAGGATCCGGTACCTAGAAAATTCTAAAGAATTCATTAGAAAAACTACCAGAACTAATAAAACTAGTTCAGCAAGATTGCAAGTTGTAAGATCAATATACAAAAATCAAGTGTACTTCTATATACTAGCAATGAGCAATCCAAAAATGAAATTAAGAAAATTTCATTGACGAAAGCATCCAAAAGAATAAAATATTTGAGACTAAGTTTAATAAAAGAAGTATAAGACTTGTACCCTGAAAACTACAATATATTGCTGAGAAAACTTCAAAAAGCTCTTATATAAATGGGGAGACATTCTATGTTCATACATACTGAGATTTCATCATTAAGATAAAATACTCTCAAAGTGATCTATATATTCCAGGCAAAATCCCAGAAACTGATAAGCTGATCCTAAAATTTATATGGAAATACAAAGAATCTAAAATAGCCAAAACAATCTCGGAAACGGACGAAATAGAAGGATTCACACTTCCCACTTTCAAAATGTAATACAGGGTTACAGTAATGAAGTAATGAAGACAGACAGTGTGTTACTGGCATAAGAATAACCAATGGAACAGAATTAAGAGTCCTTCTGGACTTACATTTATGACCAACTGATTTTTGACAAGGGTGCTGTGCAATTAAATGTGGAAAAGGCAATCTTTTTTTTTTTTTTTTTTTTAGAGACGGAGTCTCGCTCTGTTGCCCAGGCTGGAGTACAGTGGCGCGATCTCGGCTCACTGCAAGCTCTGCCTCCCAGGTTCAAGCCATTCTCCTGCTTCAGCCTCTCAAGTAGCTGGGACTACAGGCGCCTGCCACCCCGCCCGGCTAATTTTTTTGTATTTTTAGTAGAGACGGGGTTTCACCATGTTAGTCGTGATGGTCTCGATCTCCTGACCTCGTGATCCACCCACCTCGGCCTCCCAAAGTGCTGGGATTACAGGCATGAGCCACCACGCCCGGCCGGAAAAGGCAGTCTTTCAAGGGTACTCTGTCCAATGGTACTGGAACAATTAGATATATGCAGGCAAAAAAATGAACTTAAAAACTTACCTCACATCATACACAAAAATTACCAAAAATAGATCATAGACTAAAATATAAGAGCTAAAACTATAAAACTTCTAGAAAAAATGAGAAAAACTTTATGATTTTGCATTAGGCATAATTCTTAAATAAGATACCAAAATCATAATCCAAAGGAGGGAAAAACTGACAGTCAGACTTTATCAAAATTATAATTTTTGTGCTTCTAAAGACACCATTATAAAAATGAAACAAGCCACAAATGGGGAGGAAATATTTTCAAATCATATATATGGTAAATAACTGGTATCCAAATAATATAAAGAGCTCTTATCACCCAAAAATAACAAAACAAACAACCCAGTTAAAATATGGACAAAAGATCTGAAAAGACATGTCACCAAAGAAGGTATATGACTGGCTGAGAAGTACCTAAAAGGCCCTCAATATTGTTGGTCATTAGAGAAATGAAAATTAAAACCTCAGTGAGACACCACTCTCTACCCATTAATGCCTATTATAAAGAATTATTGCTGAGGATGTGGAAAAACTAGAAATTTCAATGGGTTCAAGCAATTCTTCTGCCTCAGCCTCCCGAGTAGCTAGGACTACAGATGCACGCCACCACACTCAGCTAATTTTTGTATTTTTAGTAGAGACAGGGTTTCACCATATTGGCCGACCTGGTCTCGAACTCCTGACCTCGTGATCCGCCCGCCTCAGCCTCCCAAAGTGTTGGGATAACAGGTGTGAGCCACCGCGCCTGGCCGTTCTGCCTGTTATTAAATGTGGTCTACGAACACTGATGCGTCCAGCTCAGGGAAGGTTCTTGGCAGCCCCTCCAAGGGCAGGTGCTGCAGTCACCAGGGTGGGAGGCACCCTCTTCTGTGCTCACCACACACCACTGCAGGTGTGTGCCCAGCAGCTGTTCTCCTAGGGTTAGAGGTTCTTTCTACATAATTCATTAAACTCTTTTCCACAAATATTTGTTGCACACCTACTAGGAGTCAGGCAGTGTATCAGGAGCTGGGAATGCAGTGATGAGCAAACCAGACACAGGCCCTCCTCCCACGCAGTATGCAGCCTCCTGGGGGAGGCAGACTGGAACCAAATAACCAAGAAGGAAATTCTCTGTGGGTGGGGGCTGAGTACACATTGATTAGATAAAGGGGAAGGGAAAGGGCTGCGGGCAGAGAAAGTGCAGAGCTGGCTGGCTGGGCACCTGGCTGGAGAGCAGGGAGCTGGGGGTAGCTGGAAGATGGGCAGCCCCCCACTAGGCAGGGCCTTGAGCCATGCTAGGGACTTTGGTCTGTGGTATCAGAGTACTGGTGGTCATTTACACAGGCTCAAAGTCAAGATCCACAACTCACCAGTGCATGACCTTGGATGCATTACTTACTCTCTCACCTTAGTTTCCTCACCTGTCAAATGCAAGCAATCATAGTTGCAGGGAGGATGAAATGGCTGTGGAGGTCCTCAGATGGTACTTGCACACTGGGAGGCTGGGTGGGTGTTTGCTATTCTTATGCAATCCAAAAGAAACGGTATCTTTAAAAGGTTTTAAGCAGGAGAGTATCATCAGATTTGTGGACATGGGAAGGACAGATGGGAGGGGTGGACATGACAGGGGGACTTAGGACGTGGAATTGAGAGGTTGGATGTGGAGGGGAGGCAAAGGAAATGTCAAGGACCAGCCTCTGCTGGGGCAGCATGGAGGTGCCAATTGCTGAGATGTGGGTTGTAGATGTGGTGTGTGCTAGGAGGCAGGGTGTGTGCTGGGAGCTGCGGCCTAGATGGGTGGCCAGGGGAAAACAGTGCCTAAGGAGGACCCGGGGCTGTGGAGCAGGGGGGCTGGGGTCTCTGCCTCCACACTGCTGGCCTTCCTGGTGTGGGGCCGCCCATGCTTCTGGGATGTTTAGCATCCCTGGACTCTCCCAGCCGAATGCCAGTGCAGCTCCCAACTCTCCAGCTGTGGTGACCAAAATGTCTCTGACATTGACAAGTTTCCCTGGGCAGGGTGGGAGGGGAGTGGGGGGCATCACAACTGCAGTTTGGAGGCAGTGCTCTAGGTCTCAAGGCTGCCCAACACCCAGAGGGCAGCCCTGCGCTCCAAGTCCGCCCTCCCCAACACACTGGGCTGACCCCACCAGACCCTGGGCTCTGTCTTCAAAAGCCCATCCTCAAAGTACCAGCCCACGAACTAGCCCCCACACTACCATCCCATAATGCTCTGCCCACCCCCCTCCTGCCCCGAGTGACCTCCACACCCCCCACTCCCTAATTCTTCTGCTGTGCACCAGGAACTGCTCTCCTGGTGGGGGTGAGGGCAGCCCCACGCCCATGTCCTTACCTCATCTTCTGGTGCCCTGCCCCTTGCCCTGAACAAAGCCTGGCCTCCCATGCCTGGTTCTGGGCAGCAGCTAAGGGATCCACACACAAAATCTAACAACACACAACCCAGTGCCAGGGCCACACGATCCTTGAGTGGGCGACCCTGGAGAGCTGCACCTAGAGGAAGAGAGGCCTGGGCTCTGGTCCCCCTACCTGGGGCCTGGTCCTGCTCTGCGCCTCGTGCTGTGTGACTCTGGGCAGGCCCTTCACCTCCTGACCCTCAGTCTCCTCAAATGGAGGCCAGGACTAAGCCATGCCTCCTGGCAGGGTTGTTGTGGGCTTAAAGACGACACACCTGCTAGATGAGTCCCTTGCAACGCAGGGCAAAGGGATGAAGGGGGAAGAAGGGCTGCCCTCACTGGGCCTCTGATGATCCCCAAACTGCCCTCAAGCAGTCCCTGCACACCTGTGCCCTCCCAGGGGATGGGCTCCAGCCCTGGCCAACTTCTCCAGGTGCTCAGTCACACTGCTTCGTCTGGGGTCTCTCCCTTGTGATCTTAGCTATAGTCATGACCACATTTCACCCTGACAAACATGTAGAGCAGGAACCAGCCACAGAAGAAGGGGCTCGCAGAGAGCTGTTGTCCCACCCACATGCCCTGCTCCTTTCTGCAGGCCAGACACAGCCACCACTAGATCTGGGGTTCTGTCCACGCCATGTCCTCCCCTTTGCACACTCAGCCTGCACTAACCCCAGCAGAGAAGCAGCTTTGTGTGGCACCCCCAACACTCCCCTTGGTGGTCCCCATTGGCTTGGATCCGTGATCAGCAGCATGCCACATGGGACCCTCCTTTCCATCCTCTCCCTCTCTTGTGTGTGGTGGCATCTCCTGTCCTCCCGCAAACCAAGAGCTAAGGTGGGCAGTCCCTGATCACAGGCTGGCATCCTGGGTTCAGAAGACAGACTGCCTGGGTTCAAATCCCAGTCCCAACGCTTACTAACTCTGGGCCTTGGGCAAGTTTTATAAATCTTCATCTGCTTCCTGTGTGTCTCATGGAGTTGACAATTAAATACAGCCCCTGCCTCAGAGAGCTGCGATGCAGGTTAAATGAGACACAGAAAATGTGCCTGGCACAGAGCTCAATACATCGTTGCTATTGTTGTTGTTGATTTTAAAAGCAGTTTTCCTGGTATTTTACCATAAAACATATGGACTAGTGTGAGCCATTCTGCTATTTCCCATGATAAGAAAATGCAGGCTCTGCCCTCCACAGGTAAGGTATGAGAGGGCTAGCTAGCCAGGCCCCTGTTCAAGCCCACGGAACAGCTTGAAGCCCAGCACTCAGGGTGTTAGTGACTCTCATTGCCTGCGCTCCTCAGAAAAGGTGACAGAACTCAGAGAAGTGAGAGGTTGGCCTCCGACACACAGCTGCAAACCAAAGGGCTAGGATTCTGCTATGAAACCCAGGGCTCTGTAAGGAGCAGTTTATGTGAAACATGGTATTTCTGGCAAGTAAACATTTGCTGAATGGAGGAAGTCACAGGGAAATCCTCAATCCTGCCTTAATGAGACAAACAGTCTGCTTAAGTGACAAAATGATTGTTTGTTTGTAACCCACCAGAGAGCTGAGAATGCAAACAAAAACAAAAGCAAAAACAAGGCAGACTAAAATAAATCCCCAAAAGTGACAAGCCTGCTCAGAAGGAGGGGGCCGGAAGCTGCTTTCCTCCAGGTAAAGGGCTGGAAGTGGAGGAGCCCACCATGGATGGGGAGGAGAAACCAGCCATGCTCACAGCAGAACGCATGGGGAGTGGGTGTGTGGATTCCAATCCCCAGGAGCCCCAGCCCAGGACAGGTCGGCACCCACCCACCCTGGTTCTCCACCCATGCACAAGGCGGAACAGGATTGATAAGAGGCATCCCTCCAATGCAGTAAAGACTGGAGGCATGGCGCAGGGCACAAGGGGACCCCAGAGGCAGCACTGGAGAGCAACAAGAATGCCTAAGCAGTCCCCAGGGCCGAGGGCTCTCAGTAAGGCAGAGAAAAGTCTCCTGTGGTCAGATGCTGGGTGCAGGCTGGAAAGCATGAAGATGGCTGGAGTCTTTCCAGTGCTGAGATCCTAAGCCCTACCGATGGGTCAGTCCTGATCACACTTTCAAGACGTGAGGTTTGTGGAGAAGAGTCTGACTACAACTGCAAAAAAAGCCCAGCCCAGCTTGGCTACATTTGGAACGACTGAGCCACCCACACTAACACATGGGCAGAAAAGGAGGAACACTCTTTTTCTGGAGGGTAAATGTTATTTATTAATACTTCAGCCTCTACTTTAGGTCGTGAGAATCACTAACACCCTGAGCGCTGGGCTTCAAGCTGTTCAATGGGCAGCCAACCCCAGGGTCCTGGATAGCCCTCCCTTACCTTACCTGTGGAGGGCAGAGCCTGCCCTTTCTTCAGCCTATCCTTTCATACATAATGCCTGACATGCAAACTTAGGAGACATGTCAAAAAACAAGAAAATGTAACCCATCAATAAGAGGTAACGTTCAAAACGTTCAATAAAAGCAGACAGGGATGACCAAGGTGTTGGGAACAGACAGGGGCTATAGAACTCGGATAAATATGTTAAATAGTCTAAAGGAAAAGGTGGATGTTATGTGAGAATAGAGGAGGAATTTGAGAAGATAAGTGAAAATATAAAAAAGAACCTACAGAAATGCTAAAAAGGAAAAATGCAATTCATAAATAAAGAATTCATTTAATAGTTTTAACAGAAGATTGGATATAGTAGAAGAAATAATCAGTGAACCTAAAGACAGGTCAGTATGTCCAAACTGAATTACAATTATCCAAACTGAAAAACAAAGAGGAAAAAATTGAAAGTCTGAGATATGTAGGACATTAGAAGTTTAACACATCTGCAGCTGGAATTCTAGGAGAGACAGTATGGACAGAATAAACGTTTGAAGAGGTAATAGCTGAGAATTTTCCAAACTTGGTGTAAGACATCAACCTACAAATCCAAAAGCTCAGTAAAGCTCAAGCAGGATAGGTACAAAGAAAAACATCTATAGGTACATAAGAGCCAAACTGCTGAAAATTAAAAATAAAGAAGAAAAATCTTAAGAGCTGGCAGAGAATGGGAAAAAGATACATTACATAAGAGGAAAACAATAAGGGCGACAGCTGATGTCTCATCAGTAACAACAGAAACAAGAAGATGAAGGAACTGCATCCTTAAAGTGCTGAAAGGGGGAAAATGTCTAATTAGACTTCTCCATCCAGCAGAAATAACCTTCAAAAATGAAATTGAAATAAAGACATTTACAGATAGACAAAAGCTGAGGAAATCAGTCTCTACCAGACCTGCGAGAAATGCTAAAGTTCTTCTGGCTGAAGCCGAAAACAGATAAAAGTGAGTTAAGGCATTTTCTTTTCATTTGTTTCTTGTGGGTTTTCCCCCTACTTACAACATAGATGGAAAATGGCTTAACTTCCTAGAGATTAAAATATATAAATATGGGTCCTAGCACTGAGCTGAAAGAGATGTCTGGCCATGAGGAAAGTGGCTAGGTGGCACAGAGAGCCATGCAGAGGGCAGCAGGGAAGCAATATGAGTTCCGAGAGTTCCAAGAGAAGCAGACAAATCCAGCAGCAACCTGCAGCAGTGAGTGACTCGAGAGCAGATGGGGCAAGCCCCTATTCTCCCAATAAGCAAGAGGTGCATTCCCTGGACATCTGTCGCAGCTGGGGAATGACTTGAGTCCTGGCTCTTTATATTGAAGATCACAACCAGAACAGACGGCAGAGAAGTTATGCCTGAGGGCTTTGTATGAACAGCTGTAAAACCCACAGCATGGTCTTTGATCACTTTGAGACTTCCATCAGTAGAAGAAATACTAAGTGAAGATAGGTCTCTGCTTTTAAATAATGTATACCTTTCAAACTGTTTATTTTTTATGGCAATTTTCATGAGCAAAAGATGGCAGACAAATTAAACCTGTCCAAAAACGGGTAAAATGTTCTGATCACATGAAATATAAACTGAGTCCTATCTATTAATTTATTAACATTATCTCATGCTGCCTTGATAAAGTGGAAAAAGAATGAGTTTGGAATCAACAGGCTGAGGTGTGAAACATGGCTCCAAAGGAGGGCCACTCTCCCTGTGGACAGTTTCCTCATCTGTATTTCGTAGTGTTGTTGAGATGGTTAGATGAATGTATAAACCCAGCATGACTTCAGCTTACTGCAGAATTCAATATTCATTCCCTTCCCTGCACATGACAAAACCAATCTGTGCAGTTGACTGTTTACCTGTGCCTGGTATTCCCAGTCAATTATAAACTCTTTGAGGGTGCAGACCACACATAATCCCCTATGCAGGACTGGGTCTTGTGTCACAACAATGGCCGAATAAACAAGGGTGATTTCCTAACACCATAGCATGGCACTAGCTAAGGCTGTCAATGGTATTAAATGAATTCACTGACTTATAGCTTAAAGAAGTCACATATACCACCTTATAAAATCATCACAGGCTTCTTGCTGTAGAAAGGGATGAAGGTAAGTTAACAAGGCAGAGAATGTTTCCTACCTAGTATAATCAGGCAACCTCCAGGGAACAGCTGAAGTCTTCAGTAGTCCATAGTCACTTATATCACACAAAAGAAACATATTAAGAAAACATTTTGTGCTCTAAGAAGACAATTTGGGGCAATAGAGTCACAGCATGTTTGCCAGGAGCGGTGCACCGAATATGTTCACTTACATCCACTCAGCCCGCACAGCTAACATCCTGCAGTGACTTCACCCAAGGATTTTCATCAGCCCCCAAACAAGAACAAAACTGCCACTCTGCATTCACTCCTAAGATAGAAACTGCTCCCAAGAAAGCCATAATATGATGAAATGTTTTCCCCACTCATGTGGCAGGTAGCTTGACAACAGAAGTGAAACGGAGCAACTGAGTTGCTCCTCAAACGCGACAATCATGGATCATCTTTGAATCTGGAGGGAAATTGAAGGAGTTGAGAAACCTGGGTGGCCAGGGTCATAGATGACCTGGTACAGCCCATAGGAGCCCAAGACAGGTGGTTCAAATCACAGAAATAAAGCCATCAGTAGTGCTGGAAGCTAATTCCCACACATCTCTTCCTGCATACTGTTCACATGGCAGTGTCATGCTGGGACTAAAGAATGAAACCCAAGTATACAGTCTGCCAGTGCTAATGGGAAACATTGATTAATCAGGAGAGTTAATAAAATCACAGTCTGCTAATGGGCAAATTCTGTGACACTGCATCCCAGATGCCTAATTCTGGATAAACACACACACACACACACACACACACCCCTCAGACCTGCTCTTCTACCTAGATTCTCATCTCCCTTCATTCATCCTGTCCTCAGCCACTTTAGCTAGAAACATGTGACATCCCCAGTCTCTATTGTTACATACTTTTCATGCAACCAGTGTCTACCATTTGGTATCTGTTCAATGTATACTTTGAGCATTGATTAAATATCAATTTGGGCCACGTGTAATGGCTGACATCTGTAATCCCAACGTTCTTGGAGACCAAGGCAGGAGGATCACTTGAGGCCAGGAATTCGAGACCAGCCTGGGCAACAAAGCGAG